>NW_015495298.1:0-278659 GCF_000001405.40 Homo sapiens | reverse complement strand
GAATTCATCTTCAGAAGTGATAGCATTTCCTGCTTGGCATTTTTTGCCTACATTTTTGGCATAAGATCTATCAACAAAAAGTATGAACCCAGGTTTGTGTAATGGAATATCTTAAACATCAATAGGAGGAGTCAATAGTTCTGATGCCACACACACACATGTATGGTCTTCTCCATCATCAGAAAATGGCAACAAAGTGGTAGAGTTATGCAGAGTGTAGCATTTGAAATGGAGATTTGAAGGTGACAAGGAAAGGATTTTGTAAGACATTAGTGTACAAGTTGAGCAATGTTGGTTCCTGTCACAATATTTTTATTGATTTATTTATTTTATTCATTTATTTTTTGAGATGGAGTCTCGCTCCGTCACCAGGCTGGAATGCAGTGGCACGATCTCAGCTCACTTCGACCTCTGCCTCCCCGGTTCAAGCAATTTTCCTGCCTTAGCCTCCTAAATAGCCGGGACTACAGGTGCATGCCACTACACCTGGCTAATTTTTTGTATTTTTAGTAAAGACGGGGTTTCACCATGTTAACTAGGATGGTCTCAATCTCCTGACTTCGTGGTCTGTCTGCCTTGGCCTCCCAAAGTGCTGGGATTACAGGCCTCAGCCACCATGCCTGGTCGGTTCACATCAAAATTTAAGAGGTATTCAATTGCATATGAAACTTGTAGGCAAAGTTTATTTCTTTTTTCTTTAAAGCATTAATTAATTTATTTATTTATAATGTATTTATTTATTAATTTTTTTTTGAGATGGAGTTTCACTCTTGTTTTCCAGGCTGGAGTGCAATGGTGCGATCTCAGCTCACTGCAACTTCTGCCTCCCGGTTCAAGTGATTCTCCTGCCTCAGTCTTCCAGTTAGCTGGAATTACAGGCACAGGCCACCACACACAGCTAGTTTTTGTATTTTTAGTAGAGACAGAGTTTCACTATGTTGCCCAGGCTGGTCTGGAACTCCTGACCACAGGTGATGCACCCACCTCGGCCTCTGAAAGTGCTGAGATTACAGGCATGAACCACCGTGCCCGGCCTAAACTCATCACTTTTAATACTTTCTACATCACATGAGGAAGAAGAGCAGAAACACTTGAGTACTTCATGAAAGTCAAGGTTGGTATGAGTTTGGGTTCTAATATGATCAATTTCTGCTTCTAGGGAACCAAGCAGTTCAGGTTAAGGAAGGTCAGGAAACTCTAGGGTTTTCTCTCCCTCCAAAGAAAGCTTTACGCATCAACTTAACGGAGAAAGCAAATCTCATCCCCATGTTGTCACTTAATAAAAAGCCATACTTTCCTAAAAATGGTCCAAATGTCATTTGGACTGCTTCAAACACAGGAATTTTCTGAACTTCATGTGAAACCCCTCCTCAGAAATATTTTCCTTTCTCCAAGGGATTTGCTGATATATTGGCTGTACACTGGATATGGCAGCCCTGGTTTCCACCAATTCTGTACCTAAGTCTGCAATGATCTTAATCTCACCTTCTCCATTTTTATTTAAGGCTATTATAGAAAACAATTTACCAGAGAGTTATTTTAAATTCCATCAATATGGAGACATCAGAAATGTCCTCTAGCTGGATGTGGTGGCTCCTGCCTGTAATCCCAGCACTTTGGGAGGCTGAGGTGGTGGAATAACCTGAGGTTGGGAGTTCGAGACCAGCCTAACCAACATGGAGAAACCCTGTCTCTACTAAAAACACAAAATTAGCCAGCTGTGGTGGTGCATGAATGTAATCCCAGCTACTTGGGAGGCTGAGGCAAGAGAATCGCTTGAACTCGGGAGGTGGAGGTTGCAGTGAGCTGAGATCCCACCATTGCACTCCAGCCTGGGCAACAATAGTGAAACTCTACCTTAAAAAAAAAAAAAAAGGCAGAAAAGTAAAGAAAAACAAAAAAGAAATGTCCTCTAATGTGAACAACCTCTGGGACAAAAGCATTCTGTCCAATAGAGACCTGGTGCATAGGTGGACAATTTTCATTCCAATGGCCTGTTTCAAGGGTGGCAGGCAACTCTAGCAGGGTTTCTGTGTTTACACCAAACTGGATTTGAGTTTTAATAGTAAGGGGATCTCCCCCATAAAAAACCAACAGAAAATAATGGATGCTATGAAGAATATGGAGAAATGAGAACCCTGGTACAACATTGGTAGTTATGTAAATTAGTACAGCTACTAAGGAAGGCAGCATGGAGTTTCCTCCAAAAAATAAAAATAGGATTACCATATAAACCATAAATCCCACTGCTGGATATATATCCAGAAAAAAAAAAGAAATATATCCAGGAGATATCTACACTACCATGTTGGTCAGGCTGGTCTCGAACTCCTGACCTCAAGTAATCCACCTGCCTCAGCCTCCCAAAATTCTGGGATTACAGGCATGAGCCACTGCACTCAGCTTGCACTCTCCTATTTATTGTAGCACTATCCACAATAGCCAAAATTTGGAATCAACATAAGTGTCCATCAACAGATGAATGGATCAAGAAAATGTGGTAAATATACACAACAGAATATCATTGAGCTGTAAACATGAAGGAAATCCTGTCATCTGCGACAACATGGATGGAACTGGAGGGCGTTATGTTGAGTGAAGTAAGCCAGATACAGAAAGACAAACATGGCATGTTTGCACTCATATTTGGGAATTAAAAAACACGAAACTTAAAAATAGTAAAATGACGGTTATCAGAAGCTAGGAAGGGTACTGGGAAATAGAGAATAAGAAGGGGATGGTTAATGGGAACAAAAACACAGACAGGAATAAGATCTAGGGTTCAGTAGCACAATAGGGCAACTCGTGTTGACAATAGTTCATAGTAAATTTCTACATAATTAAAACAATGGAATTGGAATGTTGCTAACACAAAGAAATGATAAATTCTTGAGATGGTGGCTATTCCTGTTACCATGATTTGAACATTACACATTTTATGCTTATATCAGAATTTCAGGCCAGGTGCAGTGACTAATGTCTACAATCTGAGCACTTTGGGAGGCTGAGGCGGATGGTTTGCCTGAAGTCAGGAGTTCAAGACCAGCCTGGTCAACATGGTGAAACCCCCGTTTCTACAAAAAATACAAAAAATAGCCAGGCATGGTGGCGGGTCCCTGTAGTTCCAGCTACTCAGGAGGCTGAGGCAGGAGAATTGCTTGAACCCAGGAGGCAGATTTCTAGAGACTTCTGATGTATAAATGTCTAAAACAGGTTGATCAATCATGGAAGACACCAGAAAGTTTCCATTCAGGTTCCATTTATTTTTGACATTTTTAAATAACCATCCTTGCAGGGGTAAGTCCTGCATCACTCTAGAACTTCAGGTTCCATTTCTAAGTCTAGGACACAGGTCCCTGAAGGCCTCATTGATGCCAAGTCAGCATTTTTACCCAGTCCTGCCCCTGGCTGAGTCACCTTTGTTTTTCCACTCACAGTGAGCACGTGCCTCAAATACGTGGCTGTGTGCTTCCTTTAAGAAGCGGGTGACCGGGCCCTGCTGCTCACACCTGTAAACCTGGCACTGTGGAAGGCCAAGGTGGTCAGATCACTTGAGGTCAGGAGTTTGAGGTCAGCCTTCGCCAACATCGTGAAGCCCTGTCTCTACTAAAAATACAAAAATTAGCCAGGCGTGGGGGCATACACCCACAACACCAGCTACTTGGGAGGCTGAGGCAGGGGAATCACTTGAACCCAGGAGGTGGTGCTTGCAGTGAGCTGAGATTGTGCCACTGCACTTCATCCTGAGGGACACAGTGAGACTCTGTCTCAAAAAATAAAATAAAATAAAATAAAAATAAAATAAAATAAAAAATATAAAAAATAAAATAAAATTTTAAAAAATGCACCCATGTACAATATTTTAGTTCCCAAGTGTCCAGAAAAAAGCTTATCCATCCCACGAACCAGGCCTTCCCTAGGAGCAAAGATGGAAGTCCACTTTCTCAGATGGCCATGAGCCACAGGTAGGGCAAGGGACGGGACCAAAGAAGATCCTCTTGGGCTGCCTGACTTCCCTGAGTGTACGCATCAGCTCAGCCCGAATTGGGGTGAGGATCTCCCAATTGACATGACCCTTGTAGTCAAGACTCTCCAGAGGGGCAGGATACAACTCCAGGCCTAACTTGCTCAGCCCACGTGTGTGACGCAGCAGGTCTTTCAGAGCATTCATGGAGGTCTCATTTCCATGAAAGTTGAAGGTGGTGAGCTGGGAACAGTGGCTCAGGGCAGGCAGGAGGACCCTGAGTTGGGGGTCCTGGATCCGACAGTCCTTTAAGACGAGGGTCTTGAGAGTAGCAGCAACTTTCTCTAGCAGAGCTCCAAGGGGCTGAAGATTGGTGGTCCACATTAGGATATGAATCAGACGCAGCTCCTTTAGCTGACTGAGGCTTGGGTACTGAGACAGACACTCCATGTCCCGATCAGCTAGGTAAGCATCACTGAATATAAAGGCCCCCAAGGGGTTCTTGAGGTACCTGGGGAGAGCAAGAAGTTAGTTATGGGCAATGGTGCCAGTTAGAGGAGGGGGGTGGGAAATCATCTCAATGGTAAACTTGAAGTGGGCATTGAGTAATTCTGCACCTTACTACCACACAGGTGTTATAGTAACTGCAATGGGGAAGCCTGTTTCACCCAAACACAAGTTTGTTCCCATCATCAGATGATGGTCTGCATGCAAGGTGCTGCCTGATGAAGACTCAGATCATTCAGGGGCCACTCCATTTTAGGCTCAGTCCTTTCACCCTTGCCTGTGTGATTGGTACCACTCTCACACCTAGTCCCTCACCCTCCATCCCAGAAGCATGCACTTCTGATATCAATTATCTTTCCTGGAGTTCAAAACAACGTTTTACAGACAGGGAATTAGAGCAGTTTGCTAAGCTGCTGAAGACAGAGCTGCTACTGTGGAATGCACAGGTTTGATGTACTTTCTCTTTTTTTTTTTTTGAGACAGTCTCACATTGTAACCTAGGCTGGAGTGTAGTGGCACCGACTCAGCTCACTGCAGCCTCCACTTCCCTTGCCTCAGTCTCCCAAGCAGCTGGGATTACAGGTGCCTGTCTGCATGCCCGGTGACATTTTTTTTTTGTATTTTTATTAGAGACGGGGATTCACTGTGTTGGCCAGACTGGTCTCAAATTCCTGACCTCATGATCTCCCTGCCTTGGCCTCCCGAAGTGCTGGGATTACAGGCATGAGACACCACAACCGGCCACACCTTCCCTTCTTTCATACCATCCTCTGTATGAAGAATGTGTTTTCATCATATTAACTTTATACACTGTTCCTCACAAGGAGTTCACAAATGCACCCTCACTAGATCTGAACCCTCAACTAACCGGCTCCCTACACACCTCTCTCTGTGGCATCTACCCCAGGCCATCCCTCTGCCCTTATTTGAGTGGTCTTGTGATACCCACTTCAGGATATAGAGCACTGAAGAGCATAATGAGTTGACATTCTAGCGTCCCATTCCCTATGACATCACCGGTGGCTGGCACACAGTAGATGCCCACTAACATTTACTGTGAAAAAGAACATAAGTCTGTGGTATGGTCTGCAGAGAAAGCTCACCATCATTTCTTACCTGAGCAGGTGCTCCAGGTGCTCTTTGATATTACTGATCTTTTTTATATAAAGCATCTGGGGGTAGTACAGGCAGAGGAATGGAGAGTCCAAGTCAGGAATGCACGGCCACTGGACGCTCACGTACAACTCACGCTCATAACCGAAGGCTAAAAAGAGTTCACGAAGATTGCTCATCTGGCTCAGGTAAGGGGCAAACTTTCCCGTTTTATTGAGAGAGCACTTTTTCCAGACTTCCAACTCCTGGATACTGTCTGGGTATATCCTTTCCAATAGATTTCTGAAACTTGAAGTGGGCATTGAGTAATTCTGCACCTTACTACAACACAGGTGCACTAGGCCTCTTCTGTAGTGGATCCACCCAAAAAGGTAGCTCAGGCATTCATCCAGTGTACTTTCCTTTAGGCAGAGGTCTATGAACACCTTCAAGGGCTGGTGCTCTCCCATCCTTGGACAGTCCTCCACTGTCTGCCTCTTACTCATGGCCTCTGGGGAGCAGGAGAGGACCCTGGCTCCAGACCATATGGTCCAGAAATTCTCATCAACATCCTGCAAATCCAGCACTTGAAGTTTCCACCTCCTATGAGTAACATAGGGGAAAAGCTCAGAATGTAGGCAAGGACCCACCCCTGACCTGAGCTTTCACTCCACATCCAGGACATCAGTCAGCTGCTCCTGTCCTCAGTGCTCCTCCTTCTGTCTCTTCTCCATCCTGCTCCCTCTTGGATTCTGCCTGGTACCCACTTCTAGTACCTTTACTTTCTGCTGGGAGGAAGCAAGCTCCTGTTTCCTCAGTGGACCCTGTATGGTGAGCAGACCTTTTCCAGAGGATCTGGGCAATGGCCAAGGCCTCTCATGGGCACCGTCAGAAGCCTCTGAGCCACCCTAGCTCCCCAACCCCACCACTCCTCCTGAGCCAGCTGTCCCTTCCCTGGATGCCTGGACCCTTCCCCGAAAGCCACCTGAGTCACCTCACCTGGGGCGAACCTTCTGGGCCACCAGTGTATCAAGTCCCCTCAGGACAGCTTGCAAGGTCTCCAGATGAGGTGTCTTCATCAGGGATCCCAGAGGGAGGCGGAGGAAGGGCCAGGCCTGCACCATCAGCTTCAGGGCCTCAAAACGTCTCATGCTGAAGGCCTCCATGAACATCAGAGGGAAGACCTCCCTGGGCAGCTCATCCAGGGTGAAGATGGTCAAGAACTGGTTCCTCAGCAGGCTCTGCCCTGCCAGCTCCAGCAGTCTGGATGGGGCCTGGAGGCTCATTCTGACAAATCTCCGAGGAAAAACTCTAGAGGACAATCAAGTGAAAAGGCAAGTTTCTCGGGCCATTCCCCAGCAAGCCCCACTTCTCCTAGGGCCAAAGTCATTTCTCTAGCACGTGTGAAAGAGCCCTCAGTTTACTCCAATTCCGTTCTGCAATAAGTGGCTACAGAGGCATGGTTCTGCCCTTCTGGTACCAAGAAGAGTGTGTCCCAACCTCTAAAGAGCAGGCAAGATCCCTCCTAGTCCATGAATTATTAGCCACTGTTGCAATAAACTCATAGCACTGGGAAATGTTACCGAGGATCTCTGAAGCTCGGATCTCATGCCCAGCTAATCTTTTATTTTTTGACTTTTTGTAAAGACAGTGGGTTTCACTATGTTGTCCAGGCTGGTCTTGAACTCCTAGACTCAAACATTCCACCCGCCTTGGCCTCCCAAAGTACTGGGATTACAGGCGTAATCCTCTTCCCGGACTCATTATTGAAAATTTCACCAAGAAGCTTTGAAAGCTGTGTGACAGTGTTATGCATCATTCGCAAGACACAGATGTTTCCAATACACACCTCTTACGCATGTTCAAAATGAACCACTTTGGCTGTGCGCAGTGACTCACACCTGTAATCCCAGCACTTTGGGAGGCAGAGGCATTGGATTATCTGAGGTCAGGAGTTTGAGACCATCCTGGCCAACATGGTAAAACACTACCTCTACTAAAATTACAAAAATTAGCCAGGTGCAGTGGTCTGCGCCTATAGTCCAAGCTACTAGGGAGGCTGAAGCAGGAGGATCGCTTGAACCCAGGAGGCATAGGTTGCAGTTAGCTGAGATTATACCACTACAATCCAGCCTGGGAAATTGGCTAGATTCAAAAAAGAGAGAGAGAGAGAGAGAACTACATTGGATTAGACTTCTTAAGCTCCATCCAGTTAATCATGATTGGATTTTTGTCTTTCTTCCAGATTAACTATCAAATTAGATATTCATCCATGAAAGTGAAATATTTAGGGATATGGTGAAAGTCCAGGACTCATTCACTGATTTACTCCACAAACATGGAATTTTAGTAATATGTGACCTTTGTAGTTCTGAGTGTGAGATAGGGAAGAGTTGAATCTCTTCCTGACATTAGACAGAAAGAAAAAAACTCGAAAGTATCTTTGTTGAGAGATCCTTGGCCACATCAAATTTATCAAAATATTTCAGAGTTAAAACAGTTTTACAAAGATAGACATGACAGTCCCTAAGAAAACACAGTAGAAATCTTCATGAATCCAATGATCACCTGGGTGGTATAATTTAATTTTTTTCGTGTCGGGGTAGCTGAGTCTCACTTCATCACCCAGGCTGGAGTACAGTGGTGCCATCTCAGCTCACTGTAACCTCTGCCTCCCAGGTTCAAGTGATACTTATGCTTCAGCCTTCCATGTAGCTGGGATTACAGGCATGCACCTCCACACCCATGTCTCCGTTTGGGTGGAAGAGTTACAATGAGGATGTGATTGGTTTAAAATTAAGGTCAAAGATCCTCTTTGGTTAAGATTTTTTTTCTTTAATAGGGCCTCGCAATGTTGCCCAGGCTGGAGTACAGCAGTGGTATGAGCATGGCTCACTGCAGCCTCAATCTTCTGGGCTCAATTGTTTCTCCCATGTCAGCAACCCATACAGTTGGGAAGACAGATGCATGCTACCATGCCCGGCTAATTAAAAAATATGTATATTTTGTAGAGGCCAAGCACCAGTGGCTCATGGCTGTAATCCCAGCACTTTGGGAGGCCAAGGCAGGTGGATCACTTGAGGTCAGGAGTTTGAGACCAACTTGGCCAGCATGGTGAAACCCCACCTCTACTAAAAATACAAAAAGTAGCCAGGCAAGTTGGCAGTTGGATGTAATACCAGATACTCAGGAGGCTGAGGCATGAGAATTGCTTGAGCCTGGGAGGCAGAGGTTGCAATGATTTGAGATCGTGCCACTGCACTCCAGCCTTGGAAACAGAGCGAGACTCCATCCCCCCTTCAATAAAGAATATTTTATAGAGATGGGTTTTTGCCGTGTTGTCCAGGTTGGTCTCAGACCCCTGGGCTGAAATGATCCTCCCGCCTTGGTCTCCCAAAGTGTTGGGGTTAAAGGCATGAGTCACTGCTCCCTTCAAGAATTTTGAAATGACATAAACCAAAGCACAATCCAATTTTTTGAAATAAAGACAAAACTGCATTTAGAGGAAAAAATGCAAAGCTTCAAATTGTTCATATGAGAAAAAAAACAAAACAGGATATAACTCTATGCCATCTTAGGCTGCACTGTCACCATCCCAGACCAGCTGACTGTAGGTCAGTTGGGAGTGTCCTTACAGAGAGATTAGTGACTTACCAGATCTGGACTCAGTTTGGAGGGTGCTCAGACCTCAGGAAGAACTAAGCAGGAACTCCAGACTTGAAGACTTTGGGTCTCTTCTGTGGGTCTTTAGAAGCTTTTATTGACCTTTCTAATCACAACTCCCACCCACACCCCTCCACGTATCCACTGCTAGCTTCCAATCAACAAGTGATATCTGATTGCATTTCTGAAGCTCCACCCAGTTAATCCTGATTGGGGTTTTGGCTCTCCCCAGATTAATGGATTGAATCAGATATCCATTCATATCAGATATCCATATTAAGTTCATGAATCAAGAAATTGACAGTGTTAGGGATAGGGTGGGAATCAAGAATGCATTCATTCAAGACCGGGCAAGGTGGCTCACTCCTGTAATCCCAGCACTTTGGGAAGACAAGTTGGGTGGGTCACCTGAGTTCAGACATTCAAGACGAGCCAGGCCAACAAGGTGAAACCCCGTCTCTACAAAAATACAAGAATTAGGCAGGGACGATGGCACATGCCTGTAATCCAGCTACTCAGGAGGCTGAGGTGGGAGAATCGCTTGAACCCAAGAGGCAATGGTTGCAGTGAACCAAGATTGCACCATTGCACTCCACTCTGGGTGACAGAGGGAGAATTTGTCGGAAAAAAAAAATTCATTCATTCGTGAACTTCACAAACACTGATGGAATTTCACTAATATGTGACCTGCATAGTCCTGAGTCTGAAGCAGGGAAGGGTCTAATCTTTCCCAGATATTAGACAGAAAACTAAAATCTGAAAGTAGTATTGTTGGGAGATCTTTGGCCACATCAAAATCACAAAAATGTTTTATAGTTAAAATAGCTTTATAAAAACAGAGGAGTCGTCCCTACAAAATCAAAATAAAAATCTCCATGTATTGAATGGTCTTGTGGGTTTTATATCACCTAAGGTAGCAATTTTTTCACTCCTGCTGGTGGAAGAGAGGTGCCACTGAGGACCTGAGTGGTCTCAGGGCTTAGGTTAAGGTTACTCTGGAAGAAATTGCAACCATACTTATAAACTTTATAAATTTAATCAGTGAAGAAGGGAGGGGGAGAAACAGACATAAACCAAGCTTGCAGTGCATTCAGCATTCATCATGAGGTCAGCTTGCTCTCTGACCTGCTTCCTCATGGTTGCTGGCAGCCTGCTGTCCCAAAATCATGTAGACCTTAGATTACAGTTGCCCTTAACTGCCCTGCAGACAACAATTTAGGCCTTGTAAAACATTAACTTTTTCATTTGACATATTCTTTCAGGTTCTGCATGTCAGTGAAGCTACTGATGGCAGGTGATCTGAAGGGCCCTGCAAGGCACCAACTCACCAAGGAATGCAGTTTTGACATCCTGATGACTTCATACCTCTTACTGCCACCAAACTGCACCAACTTTCCAGCCTCTTGCTATCCATGATCCTCTGAAAACTCTCAGTACTTCTTGGGGAGATGAATTTGAGGGTCTCCTCCCAGCTTTTCATTTTGCCACCCTGTGATCGTTAAACTCTCTGCTGCAAACCCTGCTGTCTCAGAATATTAGTATGCTACTGTGCTGCAGGCATAGGAACCTGATGGTCCTGTAAAAAAAGTCATGTCAAAATTACAAAGGGAAGTGAAGGTGGAGGCTGGTCAGGGTTGAGCTGTGTGTTTTAATGGGATCCGGGGAGTGAACCAAGACTTGGTAAACATGTTGGGGGTTATTGAGGGCGTGGAGGAGGAATCTTTCCAACATTGCACTGAGGCCCCCTTGGTGTTGATACTTGTGACCAAGAATGAGTCTTCCAAAACAGTGTATGTAATTCTCCTGATTTTTCCTTTCAAAACCTTTGTCTTCCTTTACCTCCCTGAATAATCTCACATCTATTCCCATTGCTTTGCTCATTTCATAATAAAAATCCTTTTTTTTTAAAAAAGAATCTCTTTCTCTGTGAAGTAGACCATATATTTTATTGCCACACAACATGAGTAGCCTGGTATTATGGAGAGAAAGGGTCAAAAGGATCCCATTCCCCACCAGCTGGGGGTGATATAAAGGTCCTGGTTATTATTTGTCATATGTGCACCTGCATATTGCCAGTGAAAACTTACAGGTCACATTTTTCAGGAGTCCAAATTAACCACCTGTGGAAGGTCTTATGATTGGCTTACATTCTGTCCCTGAGTAAAGAATCTGATCTTGAGTTCATGAGTGCCTCAAACTCTGCAATTATTGATGAAGCTTCACCCACTTACAGTGAGAAGGACACTGATTTGATTCTGATCATGAAGTTTCACTGGTTGTCTTGCAAGGAAAATGTTTAACTTGTTATGTTGTCAGCTAAAGTCAATGATTGTAACCTCTGTATTGTACCTTCCAATGGAAAAAACAAAAACAAAACAAAAACTCAACTCTATTTGAGCCTTGCCAGGTCAGTAAAACAAAAGAAAATTTAAAAAAAAAGCTGATAGGAGGAGTCTCATTCCCTTCTTTTAACTTTTCTCACAAAAGCATTCCAACTTGTAACAGACTTTGGAACACACCCACTTTGTTGGTCTGTGTCTTCCACATTGATTCTCACATTTAGCTTCCAATGAAGATTTATTTAATTATTTCTGCCTTAAGCGCCTTACCTTCCACTGACACCAGGTTGCATGGTGACAGTTTGAACTGGGGTGGGATGAAAAAATATTTTTATGAATTTTATTATATAATCCTTGCATGTCATCTCCATTGAAGAATGAATAGGGTCTTCTCCAAATATGTGCTGAGTATGGATGCATCCAATAAATGAAACTATTGTTTATTTCATATGGTAGAGCTATAGATGCATTCTATTTGCCTCGAGTTTCCAATGAACAAATGTCTAGTTTCAGTAAGTTCTCTGATTATATGGCAGAGGATAACATGGTCATGTTCTGATTCTGTGTCTATGTCAATACTTATAGCATTTCAGTCTTCATAATGTGTGTCAAATGAAAGAGTTTGATTCCAAGGGGAGTCTGGGACACTACCTAGATTAGACCCGGTTACACTAATGTTTCCTATGCATGGAGATAAGTTACAAGTAATGAAATCAACAATAGTCATAGGCCACCCATTTGCATCTATAGCTTCTGCTCAGTGCCAAGTCATTTAATTATCAATATTAACCAACCGTGTGTGAGAGCAGGTTCTACTATTAGTTGTGATCCTTCCCATTCATCTAAATGACTCCATAGCCAGTAATTGCTTTGGTTAGTGAGAGTGGCTAAATTTTGAATAGGAGAACTTAGAAAGTGTTTGCTTTGACTGGTGAAAGTACGTAACAAAATAAAATGTAGGCTTGATCATTTTGTGTTAATACAAAACAAAACCAAGTCTCAGTCAGTGGAAGGAGATCAAATGGAGTTTTGTCCCATTTTCTTAAAAAAGCTGTCTACCATGTGATGATGTCTGCTTCTAAGAAAGACTTTGTTCCTTGGTTATCCTTAATTTTAAGTCACCTGGTATGGTCCCATCCAATGCTGCTCATGGGCAGATTTCCCTTGGTGTCATTTTAAAAGATGCAGTCTCCAAATGGTAGGGCATGAAGGTCCAGTGATCATCGAAACCCTCCTTCACCAACTGGAAATAGGCTTTGAAAGGTCTTGCAGTACTGAGTCATATTGTTACTGAACGATGGGCTCACTCTCCTAAGTGCATAGAAAAGCAAAAAAGGCTGGGCATGGTGGCTGACACCTATATTTGCAGCACTTTAGGAGGCCAAGGTAGGCGGATCACAAGGTCAGGGGTTCGAATCCAGCCTGGCCAATATGGTGAAACCCTGTCTCTATGAAAAATACACAAATTAGCTGGGTGTGATGACCCATGTCTGTAATCCCAGCTACTTAGGAGGCTGAGGCAGAAGAATCACTTGATCCTGTGAGGCAGAGGTTGCAGTGAGTCGAGATTGCACCTCTGCACTCCAGCCTGGGTGACAGAGCAAGACTCCATTTTGGGAAAAAAAAATTTATTAACAGTTAACTGGGCTGGGCACAGTGGCTTATACCTGTAATCCCAGCACTTTAGGAGGCCAAGGTGGGCGGATCACAAGGTCAGGAGCTCCAGATCAGCCTGACCAATATGGTGAAACTCCCTCTCTATTAAAAATACAAAAATTGCTCTCCCTCTCCCTCTCCCTCTCCCTCTCCCCACGGTCTCCCTCTCCCCACGGTCTCCCTCTCCCCACGGTCTCCCTCTCCCTCTCTTTCCACGGTCTCCCTCTGATGCCGAGCCGAAGCTGGACTGTACTGCTGCCATCTCGGCTCACTGCAACCTCCCTGCCTGATTCTCCTGCCTCAGCCTGCCCAGTGCCTGCGACTGCAGGCGCGCGCCACCACGCCTGACTGGTCCTCGTATTTTTTTGGTGGAGACGGGGTTTCGCTGTGTTGGCCGGGCTGGTCTCCAGCTCCTAACCACGAGTGATCCGCCAGCCTCGGCCTCCCGAGGTGCCGGGATTACAGACGTAGTCTCGTTCACTCAGTGCTCAATGTTGCCCAGGCTGGAGTGCAGTGGCGTGATCTCAGCTCGCTACAACCTCCACCTCCCAGCCGCCTGCCTTGGCCTCCCAAGGTGCCGAGATTGCAGCTTCTGCCCGGCCGCCACCCCGTCTGGGAAGTGAGGAGCGTCTCTGCTCGGCCGCCCATCGTCTGAGATGTGGGGAGCGCTTCTGCCCCGCCGCCCCTTCTGGGAGGTGAGGAGACCCTCCACCTGGCAGCCGCCCCGTCTGAGAAGTGAGGAGCCCCTCCACCCGGCAGCCACCCCGTCCGGGAGGGAGGTGGGGGTCAGCCCCCGCCAGGCCAGCTGCCCCGTCCGGGAGGGAGGTGGGGGGTCAGCCCCCCGCCCGGCCAGCCGCCCAGTCCGGGAGGTGAGGGGCGCCTCTGCCCGGCCGCCTCTACTGGGAAGTGAGGAGCCCCTCTGCCCGGCCATCACCCCGTCTGGGAGGTGTACCCAACAGCTCATTGAGAATGGGCCATGATGACAATGGCAGTTTTGTGGAATAGAAAAGGGGGAAAGGTGGGGAAAAGATTGAGAAATCGGATGGTTGCCATGTCTGTGTAGAAAGAAGTAGACATGGGAGACTTTTCATTTTGTTCTGTACTAAGAAAACTTCTTCTGCCTTGGGATCCTGTTGATCTATGACCTTACCCCCAACCCTGTGCTCTCTGAAACATGTGCTGTGTCCACTCAGGGTTAAATGGATTAAGGGTGGTGCAAGATGTGCTTTGTTAAACAGATGCTTGAAGGCAGCATGCTCGTTAAGAGTCATCACCACTCCCTAATCTCAAGTACCCAGGGACACAAACACTGCGGAAGGCCGCAGGGTCCTCTGCCTAGGAAAACCAGAGACCTTTGTTCACTTGTTTATCTGCTGACCTTCCCTCCAGTATTGTCCTATGACCCTGCCAAATCCCCCTCTGTGAGAAACACCCAAGAATGATCAATATATAAATAAATAAATAAATATACAAAAATACAAAAATTAGCTGGGCATGGTGGTGCATGCCTGTAATCCCAGCTACTGGGGAGGCTGAGGCAGGAGAATCACTTGAACCTGGAAGGCCAATGTTGCAGTGAGCTGAGATCATGCCACTGCACTCCAGCCTGGGCAACAGAGTGAGACTCTGTCTCAAAGAAAAAAATAAAAATAAAAATAAAAAAGAGTTAACTGACAAGCAGATAGGAGACAAGTTCTAAACCTGTCTCCCCAATCTGGGGATGGTGGAGCAAGCTTGCATCATCTCTCCAACTGGTTTCAGATGATGCCAATTCAAACAGTCCGCCTGGCTGTGTTAATAGTTAAGAGGTTAAACCTTTTTCCCATCGGACATGCCTGAGCAATTTGGGCTTTGCGTCATCACCTGTAACAACTTAAGCAATGACTAATCTGTTGGAGTTGATCCTCTGGTTACATGATCAGAGCTAAAAAGTGCAGGGGATACATAATGTTCTATTATCAAAGGCATAGGTTCTCCAGTAAATACTTAATTATCAGTGTTTCTGATTGCAGTTGGTGAAAAAAAAATACCTTATGGGGGATCTGGCTGTGTTTTCCCATAGGGGGTGGTAAAAATTTCATTAAAGTAATCCAGTCTTGCTGGACATGATGGCTCACACCTGTAATCTCAGCACTTTGGGAGGCCGAGGCTGGTGGATCACTTGAGGCCAGGAGTTGAGCAATCTGGGCAACATGGTGAAACCCCGTTATCTACTAAAAATACAAAAATTAGCTGGGTGTGGTGGTATGCCTGTAATCCCAGCTACTTGGGAGGCTAAGGCATGACAATCACTTGAACCCAGGAGGCAGAGGTTGCAGTGAGCTGAGATAGCACCACTGAACTCCAGCCTGGGTAACAGAGACTCTGTCTCAAAAAAAAAAAAAAAAAAAATTAACCCAGTCTCCTTTGTTAGTTTAGCTAATTTTAGTTTCAAGATACCATTTCTTCACTCGACCTTTGTAGAATACCAAGGATAATGAAGTTAATGGTAGTGCCATTGGATCTGAAAAATCTTATCTGTGTGATCACCTGCCCAGTAAACGGAGTTCTCCTACCACTGGAGATTTCTCCAGAGATGCCCCAGAAAGGAAACACATTTTATAACCATTTATTCACTATGGCTGTGGCATCAGCCTTTCTAAAAAGGTAAGCTACAACCCATCCTGAAAACAGACACACAATCACAAGAATTGTAGCCTTTTTACATGGCTCACTGACATCATTGGTCCATGACATTCCCCTTTCTTGCAGCTATATGTGTGTATGTCTATCTATTCCTATCTATATCTATACTTAATTTTTATTACCATGATTCACTTCCACTCCCCTTTCCATAGATAGCCACTCTACTCTTTGACCTAGCCTTGAATTTGCATGTGACCTCTTAGAATATAAGTATATAGAAAGTATTTAGAATATATACTTAAGATGGCTGAATAGGAACAGCTCCAGTCTACAGCTCCCAGCATAAGTGATGCAGAAGATGGGTGATTTCTACATTTCCAACTGAGGTACCAGGTTCAACTCACTGGGGAGTGCCAGACAGTGGGTGCAGGACAGTGGGTGCAGTGCACCGTGCGTGAGCTGAAGCAGGGCGAGGCATCGCCTCACCTGGGAAGCACAAGGGGTCAGGGAATTCCCTTTCCTAGTCAAAGAAAGGGGTGACAGATGGCACCTGGAAAATCAGGTCACTCCCACCCTAATACTGCGCTTTTCTAATGGGCGTAACAACTGCACACCAGGAGATTATATCCCACACCTGGCTTGGAGGGTCCTGTGCCCACGGAGCCTTGCTCATTGCTAGCACAGCAGCCTGAGATCAAACTGCAAGGCGGCAGCAAGGCTGGGGGAGGGGCCCCCACCATTGCCGAGACTTGAGTAGGTAAACAAAGCAGCCCAGAAGCTGGAACTGGGTGGAGCCCATCACAGCTCAAGGAGGCCTGCCTGCCTCTGTAGACTCCACCTCTGGGGGCAGGGCACAGACAAACAAAAGAAAGCAATAACCTCTGCAGACTTAAATGTCCCTGTCTGACAGCTTTGAAGAGAGTAGTCGTTCTCCCAGCATGCAGCTTGAGATCTGAGAACGGGCAGACTCCCTCCTCAAGTGGGTCCCTGACCCCCGAGTAGCCTAACTGGGAGGCAACACCAAGTAGGGGCAGACTGACACCTCACACAGCTGGGTACTCCTCTGAGACAAAACTTCCAGACGAAAGATCAGACAGCAGCATTTGCGGTTCACCAATATCCACTGTTCTGCAGCCTCTGCTGCTGATACCCAGGCAAACAGGGTCTGGAGTGGACCTCCAGCAAACTCCAACAGAACTGCAGATGAGAGTCCTGACTGTTAGAAGGAAAACTAACAAACAGAAAGGACATCCACACCAAAAACCCATCTGTACATCACCATCATCAAAGACCAAAGGTAGATAAAACCACAGAGATGGGCAAAAAACAGAGCAGAAAAACTGGAAACTCTAAAATTCAGAGTGCCTCTCCTCCTCCAAAGGAACGCAGCTCCTCACCAGCAATAGAACAAAGCTGGATGGAGAATGACTTTGATGATTTGAGAGAAGAAGACTTCAGAAGATCGAACTACTCCGAGATAAAGGAGGAAGTTGGAACCAATGGCAAAGAAGTTAGAAACTTTGGGAAAAAATTAGACAAATGGATAACTAGAATAACCAATGAAGAGAAGTTCTTAAAGGACCTGATGGAGCTGAAAACCATAGCATGAGAATTATATGACGAATGCACAAGCCTCATTAACATATGCAATCAACTGGAAGAAAGGGTATCAGCGATGGAAGATGAAATGAATGAAATGAAGTGTGAAGAGAAGTTTAAAGAAAAAAGAATAAAAAGAAAAAAACAAAGCCTCCAAGAAATATGGTACTATGTGGAAAGACCAAATCTATGTCTGACTGGTGTACCAGAAAGTGGTGGGGAGAATGGAACCAAGCTGGAAAACACTCTGCAGGATATTATCCAGGATAACTTCCCCAATCTAGCAAGGCAGGCCAACATTCAAATTCAGGAAATACAGAGAATGCCACAAAGATACTCCTCGAGAAGAGCAACTCCAAGACACATAATTGTCAGATTCGCCAAAGTTGAAATGAAGGAAAAAATGTTAAGGGCAACCAGAGAGAAAGGTCGGGTTACCCACAAAGGGAAGCCCATCAGACTATCAGCTGATCTCTTGGCAGAAACTCTACAAGCCAGAAAGAGAGTGGGGGCCAATATTCAACATTCTTAAAGAAAAATATTTTCAACCCAGAATTTCATATCCAGCCAAACTAAGCTTCATAAGTGAAGGAGAAATAAAATACTTTACAGACAAGCAAATGCTGAGAGATTTTTGTCACCACCAGGCCTGCCCTAAAAGAGCTCCTGAAGGAAGCACTAAACGTGGAAAGGAACAACCAGTACCAGCCACTGCAAAAACATGCCACGTTGTAAAGACCATCAAGGCTAGGAAGAAACTGCATCAACCAATGAGCAAAATAACCAGCTAACATCATAATGACAGGAACAAATTCACACATAACAATACTAACCTTAAATATAAATGGGCTAAATGCTCCAATTAAAAGACACAGACTGGCAAATTGGATAAAGAGTCAAGACCCATCAGTGTGCTGTATTCAGGAAACCCATCTCACGTGCAGAGACACACATAGGCTCAAAATAAAGGGATGGAGGAAGATCTACCAAACAAATGGAAAACAAAAAAAGGCAGGGGTTGCAATCCTAGTCTCTGATAAAACAGACTTTAAACCAACAAAGATCAAAAGAGACAAAGAAGGCCATTACATCATGGTAAAGGGATCCATTCAACAAGAAGAGCTAACTATCCTAAATATATATGTACCCAATACAGGAGCACCCAGATTCATACTTTTTTTTTTTTTTTTTTTTTTTTGAGCAGTAGCAAGATTTATTGCAAAGAGCGAAAGAACAAAGCCTCCACACTGTGGAAGGGGACCCGAGCGGGTTGCCCCACCCAGATTCATAAAGCAAGTACTTAGTGACCTACAAAGAGACTTAGACTCCCACACAATAATAATGGGAGACTTTAACACCCCACTGTCAACATTAGACAGATCAATGAGACAGAAAGTTAACAAGGATATCCAGGAATTGAACTCAGTTCAGCACCAAGCAGACCTAATAGACATCTACAGAACTCTCCACCCCAAATCAACAGAATGTACATTCTTTTCAGCACCACGCCACACCTATTCCAATATTGACCACATAGTTGGGAGTAAAGCACTCCTCAGCAAATGTAAAGGAACAGAAATTATAACAAACTGTCTCTCAGAACACAGTGCAATCAAACTAGAACTCAGGATTAAGAAACTCACTCAAAACTGCTCAACTACATGGAAACTGAACAATCTGCTCCTGAGTGACTACTGGGTACATAACGAAATGAAGGCAGAAATAAAGATGTTCTTTGAAACCAATGAGAACAAAGACACAACATACCAGAATCTCTGGAACACATTCAAAGCAGTGTGTAGAGGGAAATTTATAGCACTAAATGCCTACAAGAGAAAGCAGGAAAGATCTAAAATTGACACCCTAACATCACAATTAAAAGAAGTAGAGAAGCAAGAGCAAACACATTCAAAAGCTAGCAGAAGGCAAGAAATAACTAAGATCAGAGCAGAACTGAAGGAAATAGAGACACAAAAAACCCTTCAAAAAATCAATGAATCCAGGAACTGGTTTTTTGAAAAGATCAACAAAATTAATAGACTGCTAGTAAGACTAATAAAGAAGAAAAGAGAGAGGAATCAAATAGATGCAATAAAAAATGACAAAGGGGATATCACCACTGATCCCACAGAAATACAAGCTACCATCAGAGAATACTATAAACACCTCTACGCAAATAAACAAGAAAATCTAGAAGAAATGGATAAATTCCTCGACATACACACCCTCCCAAGACTAAACCAGGAAGAAGTTGAATCTCTGAACAGACCAATAACAGGCTCTGAAATTGAGGAAATAATTAATAGCTTACCAACCAAAAAAAGTCCAGGACCAGTTGGATTCACAGCCGAATTCTACCAGAGGTATAAGGAGGAGCTGGTACCATTCCTTCTGAAACTATTCCACTTAATAGAAAAAGAGGGAATCCTCCGTAACTCATTTTATGAGGCCAGCATCATCCTGATACCAAAGCCTGGCAGAGACACAACAAAAAAAGAGAATTTTAGACCAATATCCTTGATGAACATTGATGCAAAAATCCTCAATAAAATACTGGCAAACTGAATCCAGCAACACATCAAAAAGCTTATCCACCATGATCAAGTGGGCTTCATCCCTGGGATGCAAGGCTGGTTCAACATACGAAAATCAATAAACATAATCCAGCATATAAACAGAACCAAAGACAAAAACCACATGATTATCTCAATAGATGCAGAAAAGGCTTTTGACAAAATTCAACAACCTTCATGCTAAAAACTCTCAATAAATTAGGTATTGATGGGACGCATCTCAAAATAATAAGAGCTATCTATGACAAACCCACAGCAAATATCATACTGAATGGACAAAAACTGGAAGCATTCCCTTTGAAAACTGGCACAAGACAGGGATGCTCTCTCTCACCACTCCTATTCAACATAGTGTTGGAAGTTCTGGCCAGAGCAATCAGGCAGGAGAAGGAAATAAAGGGAATTCAATTAGGAAAAGAGGAAGTCAAATTGTCCCTGTTTGCAGATGACATGATTATATATCTAGAAAACCCCATCGTCTCAGCCCAAAATCTCCTTAAGCTGATAAGCAACTTCAGCAAAGTCTCAGGATACAAAATCAATGTGCAAAAATCACAAGCATTCTTATACACCACTAACAGACAAATGGAGAGTCAAATCATGAGTGAACTCCCATTCACAATTGCTTCAAAGAGAATAAAATACCTAGGAATCCAACTTACAAGGGATGTGAAGGACCTCTTCAAGGAGAACTACAAACCACTGCTCAATGAAATAAAAGAGGATACAAACAAATGGAAGAATATTCCATGCTCATGGGTAGGAAGAACCAATATGGTGAAAATGGCCATGCTGCCCAAGGTAATTTATAGATTCAATGGCATCCCCATCAAGCTACCAATGACTTTCTTCACAGAATTGGAAAAAACTACTTTAAAGTTCATATAGAACCAAAAAAGAGCCCGCATTGCCAAGTCAATCCTAAGCCAAAAGAATAAAGCTGGAGGCATCATGCTACCTGACTTCAAACTATACTACAAGGCTACAGCAACCAAAACAGCACGGTACTGGTACCAAAACAGAGATATAGACCAACAGAACAGAACAGAGCCCTCAGAAATAATGCCACATATCTACAACTATCTGATCTTTGACAAACCTGACAAAAACAAGAAATGGGGAAACAATTCCCTATTTAATAAATGGTGCTGGGAAAACTGGCTAGCCATAAGTAGAAAGCTGAAACTAGATCCCTTCCTTACACCTTATAGAAAAATTAATTCAAGGTGGATTAAAGACTTACATGTTAGACCTCAAACCATAAAAACCCTAGAACAAAACTCATAGGTGTTCTCACTCGTAGGTGAGAATTGAACAATAAGAACACATGGACACACGAAGGGGAACATCACACACCGGGGACTGTTGTGGGGTGGGGGGAGGGGGGAGGGATAGCAATAGGAGATATACCTAATGCTAAATTATGAGTTAATGGGTGCAGCACACCAACATGGCACATGTATACATATGTAACAAACCTGCACGTTGTGCACATGAACCCTAAAACTTAAAGTATAATAATAATGAAAAAAGAATATATACTTGCATTTTGTGTGTGTATTTATTTTAATCCACGTATATGCTCTAGTGTATGGTGCTACAGAAGAGGGCCTGACAATTAATTGTCCAGTCCCAGACACTTTGGAGAGTGAATGGACGTGTTGTTATAATTAATTGCTTTTTTTTTTGGAGATGGAGTCTCACTCTGTTGCCAGGCTGGAGAGCAATGGTTCGATCCAAACCATATCACAGGGGGTAATGCTGTCAGACAACGTATTTCTATTTCACTAGTAAAATTTCTTTGGAATAACAGATTTGGCAGTGAATATAAACATAGCAAACATTAGACCTGATGCTCTGGACCCCAACTCTTGCACAAGCCTCTGACTGTGGAGTTTTATTTGAAAGGATGAAAATGAGCAGCAGATTGCAGGGACTGGGACAGTATCATGTCACCGCCAAAGATGTTGACAAACAGACATTCCGTCATTCCAGTCCCACCACTTACAGGCTGTCTGACCTTGAAAATTTCTCCCTCTCTCTTTGAATGTGTCTCTTTCTCCATCAAATGTGTAGAAGGATAATCTCAATCTTCAGGTAAAAATGCTGAGCCCAAAGCATGGGGCATAATAAACCCTCCATAAATGTTGGCTACTTTTGTTGACATTCAAAGACAACAGGCATAATCAGGAAAACAGTTGAGGCCACAGGGGATAACTCAGCCCTAAGGCAGAGTCCTCTCCTGTGCCAACCACTCCCTCTGCCAGGACACAAGCTTCACATCCACCCCAGGAAGAATTAAGAGCAAGTCCTGCTGACTCTGCCTCCAGGACGTCCCTATGCTGTCCATGGCCACTCAAGTGGACACCAGGACCTCCTGTCTGGACAGTGCAAGAATCTTCTGAAGCGTGTCCCTGCCCTCTGGTTGTCCCCCCAGGGAACACGGTCCTCTCAGCCACCTCGGGGATGTGGAAGATAGGCTTCAAGTGGCCTCACAACCCTAATCCCAAACTGCCAATGACCCCTG
The DNA here is from genome assembly GCF_000001405.40 of Homo sapiens. Lineage (NCBI taxonomy): Eukaryota > Metazoa > Chordata > Mammalia > Primates > Hominidae > Homo > Homo sapiens. The sequence goes on along the minus strand of NW_015495298.1, from coordinate 256,114 downwards.
AGTCACCCTTGCCCCTGGCTGCACCTCTCCAGTCTCATCTCCCTGAGCCAATTCACAACCTGCCAGTTCAGACACTGGTCTTCTCATTCTCTCTGTGTTTCCCCTAAAGCACGTGAACTAGTCATTTTGTCCTTCTTGCTGGGGTCTGAGTCACTGGCCAGTCAAGGCCAAATGCTGGATCAATGAGACAGGAGGAGGCCAATGACTCCAGGCCCCAGGTGAGTGAAAGGGAGGCTTTTATGAACTGGGTGCTATGGGAGAACCGCAGGCCCAGTGGGCATCCCTACAATGACCTCATGGTGTTTACATGTTTATGTGTGTGTGTGGTCAGCTAGGAAGTCACAGCTCTCCAGCATGGCTCCATGGCACAGAAAAGTAAAATATGCCATGTCTCTAGCAGGGCAAGTTTCCCGTGAGTCCAGCAAGAAGGCATGGGATCTGTGGAAAGGAGGCCTCTGGGAAAAACCCCACCTTTGAGGATAATGTTAAAAGCTGAACTTGAGACCCTGAGAATCCTATGTCCTTCCCACTCCCCGCAGGGCTTCTCTTGATCCGGCCCTGACTCCCGGATGCAGAAGCCCAGGGAGGAGCTGGGAGACAGGGAAACTTGCTGGGACGCTCCATGCATTTGTCTCCAAGAGGGTCCCCAAACCCAGGTGCCTGCAGCATCAGGGAGGCTCAGAGTTCCTGTGTCTGCCTGAAGGAAGCCTCATTTGCATGGATCCATGTAAGTTCTGAGATTCCTTCCCACACGTGGCCACCTGCAGGTGCCCCATAAATTCATCTTCCCAAGAAGAGCCAATGGGGATAGGCGAGGACCCCAAACCTGCTCCCAACCCCACATCCACAGGACAGAGAGGGATCACCTGAAGCACAGGCCAGGGGGTGAGTCCTGACCCCACTGTCTCCTCCTAATCCCAGAGGGCAGTGGAGTGGCCACAGGCACCCCACCAACTCCTCCTGTACCCCAAGCCCAAGATGAACAAACTTCCCGACTCACTGGCCTATCCCAACTTAAAAAAAAGCAGGACAACTCTCCCAGGTGGAGAAGACACCAGCTGCCTCTGCGGTGCTGAGCCCAGGAGGAAGATGATCACTGTTCAAACTGCCTTGGCAAGTTGTTTCAAAGAAATAAAACCCTTGGCTTCTCAGTGCTTTGAGTCACATTGCACTTAGTAAATGTTCGTTTTACTAATGTTTTTCACTTCCCTGTATATTTATATTCAGCAGTGAGAGACCTCTTCATATTCCAACAAAAAGTGATTAAAGGATTTGGGACACCTGTGATTATCCCCATGGGTTATTATGATCGCTCTGTACCGCGCAGCCTGCAGAGTTATTTTTCTGACCGGGATTGCAGTGCTGAGCCTGGTGTCCTCTGCTGAGTTCATTTTCCAGCTTCCTTGCATTTTATTCATCTTCCCTGGTAGCACCCGGAATTGCAGGAAGCAATCCCTGGTGCTCAGTGAAGGTCTTTGAATGAATCAAGGGGAGAGGAGTCAGGGGGAGGCAGAGGGTGTGGGAGGAGTCACATGTGCCAGAATCTTCTCTTCAGACATGTCACAGAGAGTCCCCTCCAGGCACTCTTGTTGGGCCTCAGTGCTGGACATTGGAGGACTTTTCTGACTGAGGATCATTGTGCCCTCTCTGGATCCACTGGAAAGCTCTGGGCAGCCATGTGAGCCTTGGTTTGACTTCCATCCTCCATGATTTTCCCTTTGCTTGTCAGAGGAGGTTTGGAATAACTTGGATGTCAGGGACTCTGAGCCAGACCCCATTCTTTTTCATTCCCTCCTGAAAAGCCCAGTCCTCACCGTCCCATAAGGCTCTGACCAGTGAAAAGATGGAGCTGCACGATTTCCAAAGAGAATCCTTTCCTTGGCCTCAAGCCACAGCTGCTTCCTTCTGACCTGCTGCTTGTCTTTGGATCCAGGATGGACACTCGCCACCCGCTCTTCCTCTCCTGGGACTCCCCACTCTCCTGACTCTGTGCCCCTGGGGCAGGATGGGGCAGCCACTAAAACCTCATGCAGACCAGGGCACATAAAGTGTCTTGGGAACTCACAGACCCAAGTCCAAGCCCCAGTGCCCCACGGTCTCAGACACAAGTCCCTGCCTTTCAGAGACACAGCTCTATGAGAGCCAGAGAACCTGGCTGCCTGCTCTGCTGCCACCTCCCTCCTTCCCCTTTATTTCAGCCCCATCAGCTCCTCTGATCACTCCCCTTCTTGGCCCCATTCCTACTTTCAGTCCCTCTGGCTCTGTCCAGCCTGGAGTGAGGGTGCAGACCTCCTCCCACCCCAGGCTCTGAGCACCTCCCTCAGCATCAAGTGTCTGCTTTCAGGGTGACCTTGTCCTCAGACTTGATTGGAGGAAGAAAGAGAGGAAGCCCCTACTTTAGCACACGATGTGCATGAATCTGACCTGGAATCAGACCCGGTTGAGGACCAGAGAAGGGCAACAGGGCCAGAACAGAGATTTTGACTCTTAGAAATGCACAGAGGGTGAACAGCTCAGGCTAAGAAGAGACCTGACTTGGACAGAAACAGACTGACTGCATTCCAGGTGCAGCCTTGTCAGCTCTAAGGCTGACCCAGGGGAGCCTGGGAAGGGATGGCCCCTGCACCGAGACATTTCCCAGGACCTCTTCTCAGCCTGGCACCCATAGGAAGACCAGAGGACTCAGGTCTCCTTCTGCGTGCCAGGCAGGGTCACCCTCCAGCAGTCCTGTCCCAGGGGCCTCTTTAGGGCCAGAGCAGCAGCTGAGGAACTCCCTGCTTTATGGCTTCTCATGTTCACCAAAATAGCTCAATAGAATTTTGGGAGAATTCCTCAATGACTGCTCTGGGGTGAAGGTCTCCCAGCATTGTGGCCATGTTCTGTTGTTCAGGAGATTTGGGCTGAGGTATCCAGGATGCATAAAGAGATACCTGCCTTGACAGCTCAGTCTGCAGGAGGGAAACAGAAGCTCAGAAATATTCTAGAGACCCTGAGCAAGTGCCTGGGGGAGCTTTGGTATTCTGGTGGAGATTCTGTGAGTGGAGAAGGGGTCAGGTCATCTTCTCAGAGGGGCTCTGAAGGATGCTCTGAGTTTGACAGCAGATGAGCACCTTGAGAAGAACAGGTGACAGGACATGGTAGAAATGCCCCCAAGTGCGGGATTCTCACTGGGGTCCTGGGGGTGGTGCTGGACCTTCTGAATTGGGCAGGAAGGGAAAGTCTGTCAATCAGTTCTTTTCAACATTTAGATTATTGAACTCCTTAGGGGATCCTCTGAGCTCCTCACCAGAGGGGTCTGTCCATCATTTGCTGCCTGAACACGGGCAGGTTCCTCTCCCTAGCCAAGTCTCAGGGTCACCACTTTAAAAATGAGGAATATAGCAACATGCCTTAGATTCCTCGTGAGGGAGAGCTGAGATCTTGGATGAATGGTACCAGTCCCTGCTGTGCCTTGTGCATGCTCAATCAACAGAGACACTCAGGATCACCTTTGGTGCTGAGCTCACCCTCAGCCTCAGGCTCACAAAGTGAGGGCAGGTGAAGTAGAAGCCGCACTGAGCACGTTTCAGTTTAACTCGATTGCACACATAGCAGGGCATTGATAGTGAGGTCAGAAATGTGGAGAAAGAACATTTACAGAAATATTCCATGATGGAGAACATCCTTCAAAGTACTTCAGTTTTGGAAGCCAGTGGCATCTCCGGGCTGTTTGGGTTTCATATGGAATGGGAGAGAAAGGCCTGGAGGACTTTCTGGAGGCGGGGGACGTTCTTGCTACTTTGTGCCCTAAAATAGCAGAAGAATGACTGTGTGATCCTGCTTAGGATGGGAGCCATCCCTGAACTTAGCAGATCTTTTAACATGAAATAGAGCTTCCAGGTTTTGTTGGGGAAATGTATTGTACATTTGCACACAATACAACCAGATGTGTGCACCGTTCTTAAAGACAGGAAGGCTGAGTTTCTCTCTCTCTTTCTTTCTTTCTTTCTTTCTTTCTTTCTTTCTTTCTTTCTTTCTTTCTTTCTTTCTTTCTTTCTTTCATTTCCTTCCTTCCCTCCCTCCCTCCCTCCTTCCCTCCCTCCCTCCCTCCCTCCCTCCCTCCCTCCCTCCCTTCCTTCCTTCCTCCCTCCCTTCCTTCCTTCCTTCCTCTGGCATCTGCCCCAGCTCACATTCTCAGATTCCATCTTCCCAGGCTGATTTTCCGAGGCGAGCCCATCATTTTTGGGAGTAAACACGCTTTCCCTTGTAGTAGAGGCCAAGACTGTATCTGCCTCCTCTGCCCTCAAAGACAATGTTGTGTTTGAAGAGTCTGCACTGTCTCTTTTGTAATTATTCCCTTTTTAATTTTTAAACTCAATCTAGACAGAGTCTTTCAATCCTTCTGTGGAGATGCCCACAAAATACCCACCATGTTTTATGCTGTCTTGGTTCCTTCCCAGGGTTCTACTAGAACACCCGGTCCCATCCTGCCCAGCCGCCACCTCACTTTGTCATTCTGTCCTGATTTCCTTCAGTGAAGCCTTGACCTTAGTCTTGTGATCAATCACACCCTCCGTGGTCCCCTTTTCAACCTGAACCCACATATGACCTGCCCTGTTATAAAACATAAAACCCAGGTGACCATTGGATAAAGGAGCTTTTTAATCCGTTTTCTTAGGGTGGACATCACTGTCTTTTTAAAGCTGTTTTAACTGTCTTAACGAAACGTTTTGATAATTTCGATGTGGCCACAGATTTTCCCATAAAGATATCATCAGGTTTTGTTTTTTCTTTCTAATGTCAGGAACAGATTAAACCTTCCATGTCTCTATGAAGGTCACATATTAGTCAAACTTCATCAGTGTTTGGGGAATAAATGAATTAATGAGTTTTGGACTTTCACCCTGTTATTTATTCTTTCACTTTCATAAATGCACATCTAATTTAATCAATGAATCAGAAGAAAGTGTAAAACTCAATCAGGACTAACTAGGTGGAACTTCGGAATCTAATCAGGTATCACTTTCTGATTGGAAGCTGGTGATTGAGAAGGGGAGGGTGTGGTTAGAAACATCAATAAAAGCTCCTGAGTTTGCAAAGGAGAGACCCAAAGCCCTGGTGCCTGGAACTACTGCTTGATTCTCTGAGAGATCCCAGCACCCTACAAACTGAGTCCAGATCTGGTAAGTCACCACCTCCTTAGGAACATGCCCATCTGATCTGCAGCCAGCCAGTCAGGGATGGTGACACACAGCCCAAAGTGGCACAGAGAATTTCCTGTCTGTTTTTTCAATTTAACAGATGTAGGTTTTGATTTTTCCTCTAAATATAGTATTCACTTCATCCCTCAAATTTTGATTTCTGCTTCATTTTTCTCATTTCAAAATTCTTATTGAAGCAGTTTTTTAAAAAAGATATTAAAAATTTACAGTTGGATGAATTTTTATGTCTTGACATGTGAAGTTATTTGTTTCTGTGCCCTTCAGCTACAGTTCACACACTTAGTTGTATTGTGATTTTCTCGAGTCTTGTTCTGAACATGGGATTTATCTCTGCCCTTAGACTCTGTCCCTAAGTGGGTGATTGTGAGTATGTAGAAGGGATGAGTATTGGATCCTTCATCTGAGACTTAGTGTTTCCACCCGCACCTTCCAAGTGCTCTAGAATACTGCCACACTGCTTTTATAGTTTCTCTTATAATTTTTCAAAATAAAAACAAGTGGCATTGATTTTAAGGAGTCACTTCAGTCTTCCCCAAGCATGCTAATTGTGTAAACTGAGAATGCAGGCTGTGTGGGGCCACAGGACAGTCATTCTCATTGTTTTTGGGTGGTAAGTAACAAAAAAATTTCCCTCAAAAAGGTGGAGCTTAGCTTTCAGGATCCTGAGTGACAGATCCCAGTAATCCTGAGTTTCAGTGGAGCAATGTATAGAAATTAATGGGCCACTGGCCACCTCGTCCCCTCCTTGGTGTTTGAAAGACATTCTTTGTGGTAGTCACAGGGGCACAGATACAGATTTGTGGCCACCAAGTGCAGAATGGAACTGGGGGGAATTGAGGGCTTTTCCACCTCCACCAGAGCAATGAGATTAGCAATAGGAGAAGATGAGGTGATCATATTTGGCCTGAGAGTGATGCCTTTTCTCTGGATTTGTCCTCTAGAGTTTTCCCTTGCAGATTCATCAAGATGAGCATCAGGGCCCCACCCAGACTCCTGGAGCTGGCAAGGCAGAGGCTGCTGAGGGACCAGGCCTTGGCCATCTCCACCATGGAGGAGCTGCCCAGGGAGCTCTTCCCCACACTGTTCATGGAGGCCTTCAGCAGGAGACGCTGTGAAACCCTGAAAACAATGGTGCAGGCCTGGCCTTTCACCCGCCTCCCTCTAGGGTCCCTGATGAAGTCGCCTCATCTGGAGTCATTAAAATCTGTGCTGGAAGGGGTTGATGTGCTGTTGACCCAAGAGGTTCGCCCCAGGTGAGGTGACCCAGGTGTCCAGGTGGGGAGGGCCCTTTTGTCCAGGGTAGGGACAGCTGTTTCAGGAGGAGGAGGGGCACCATGGAGGCCCAGAGGTTTCTGATGGTGCCAGTGAGGAAGCTCAGGAAGGCCTTGGCCATTGCCCAGCCCCTCTGGGAAAGGACTGCTCACCATGCAGGGTCCACTGAGGAAACAGAAACTTCTCTTCTAGTGGCTCTGAAAGCTACAGGCAATGGGGATGAGGCAAAATCCGGAGGGAAAAGGGGTTGGACAAAATCAGAGAGGGAAAAGTGGCAGAGAGGAGAACAGCTGATGTCTGGGATGTAAATAAAAGCTCAGGTCCTTGCCTTAGTTTGGAGCCTCTCTTCTCCTTTACCCACAGGCAGTCAAAACTTCAAGTGCTGGACTTGAGGAATGTGGATGAGAACTTCTGCGACATATTTTCTGGAGCTACTGCATCCTTCCCGGAGGCTCTGAGTCAGAAGCAAACAGCAGATAACTGTCCAGGGACAGGCAGGCAGCAGCCATTCATGGTGTTCATAGACCTTTGTCTCAAGAACAGGACACTAGATGAATGCCTCACCCACCTCTTAGAGTGGGGCAAGCAGAGAAAAGGCTTACTGCATGTGTGTTGCAAGGAGCTGCAGGTTTTTGGAATGCCCATCCACAGTATCATAGAGGTCCTGAACATGGTGGAGCTTGACTGTATCCAGGAGGTGGAAGTGTGCTGCCCCTGGGAGCTGTCCACTCTTGTGAAGTTTGCCCCTTACCTGGGCCAGATGAGGAATCTCCGCAAACTTGTTCTCTTCAACATCCGTGCATCTGCCTGCATTCCCCCAGACAACAAGGGGCAGTTCATTGCCCGATTCACCTCTCAGTTCCTCAAGCTGGACTATTTCCAGAATCTGTCTATGCACTCCGTCTCTTTCCTCGAAGGCCACCTGGACCAGCTGCTCAGGTGAGGAAGGATGGTGAGCTTTCTCTTCAGACCACAGCAGAGCCTTTCTTTGTTACAGTAAACACCAGTGGGTATGCACTGTGAGCCTGTGAGGAAGTAAGAGTGAGGGGACACTAGAATATCCATGCATTATCCTGTTGGTGGCTCTGTCCTGATACGGGTATCACACAACCATCCCAATAAAGTCAGAGGGATCTCCTGGGCTAGATGCTATAGAGAAGGTGCCAAGCTAGGAAGCTAGCTACTGCAGGGTTTAGATCTGGCGAGAGTGCATTTGTGAATTCCTCCTGAGGATGTGTGTCTAAGTTAAGATGATGGGAAATAGGGAGGTGAAGAGGGCACTAAAGAGAATGCCCATCCCACTCCTATATTTTAAAATATGAGGTCTATCCTCACCTGCCTAGTGAACAGGCAAAATCCTATGTTTCCCTGTCAGCACCCTGTTTTGAGCTCCAGGTCAGGTAATTAATGTATGGGAAATACATGATGATAGAATAGAGGGTGAGGGAGCAGGAGCAAAGAATGGTAAAAGTGATAGATGGTTTGCTGATGGTACAGGCATGTCAGGGTCTCCTGCAACCTGGCCAACCCAGCTGATGTTGCAGGATCCTGCCTGGGTTTGTCATTTATGCCTGTGTCTCCATCGGGCTCCTGTGGCCCAGAGATGTGGTTTTCTACCTGACAGATGAGGAAAGGGAGACTTAGAGTTCATGGACTTGATCCAATCACCTCGGTGATGGTGAAGGACTGAGCCTCGATTGGGACTGCACTGAAGGAACAGAGTCTCCATTCCCACACCCCAGGTGCTGACTATCCTCAGATGAGCAGAGCAGCCCTGGGTTATGGAGAGCATCATCTCTCACCCTGAAGTCATCCCCACCTCTCTCCTCTAACTCCTTCTTGTTCTCTCCCAGGTGTCTCCAGGCCTCCTTGGAGATGGTCGTTATGACCGACTGCCTGCTGTCAGAGTCGGACTTGAAGCATCTCTCTTGGTGCCCGAGCATCCGTCAATTAAAGGAGCTGGACCTGAGGGGTGTCACGCTGACCCATTTCAGCCCTGAGCCCCTCACAGGTCTGCTGGAGCAAGTTGTGGCCACCCTGCAGACCCTGGACTTAGAGGACTGTGGGATCATGGATTCCCAACTCAGCGCCATCCTGCCTGTCCTGAGCCGCTGCTCCCAGCTCAGCACCTTCAGCTTCTGTGGGAACCTCATCTCCATGGCTGCCCTTGAGAACCTGCTGCGCCACACCGTCGGGCTGAGCAAGCTAAGCCTGGAGCTGTATCCTGCCCCTCTGGAGAGTTATGACACCCAGGGAGCTCTCTGCTGGGGGAGATTTGCTGAACTTGGGGCTGAGCTGATGAACACACTGAGGGACTTAAGGCAGCCCAAGATCATTGTGTTCTGCACCGTCCCCTGCCCTCGCTGTGGCATCAGGGCCTCCTATGACCTGGAGCCCAGTCACTGCCTCTGTTGAATGCCTGCCATCAGGGTGGATATATTTCAAGCTTTCTTCTGGTCATTTCGGAGCTGAAACCTAGGCCATGAGTGCATGTTAAAGGGAGCACAGACCCATCGTTTCAAATGCCTCCTCAGTGTGAATGGGAAAGGAATGAGGATGCAGGAGGGGCAGGACTGGGGGAAAAGTTGACTTGGAGTGGATGGGCTCTTTAGAGACCTGTGTCCCAGAGAATCAGAAATGGGAATCTGAATTGCTAGAGTGAGAATCAGGGAGGAGAGACACATGAGAGGGTTACCCCTGCACAGATGGTTGTAAAGTAACAGTCAGAAATAAAGGGAAACTGAGTGGAAACTATCTGGTGTCCTCCGTAATTGCTTAACATGGCTTAACAATTAAACAATTTAAACCTAAAAAAGTCCAGTTACTGATCGAGCTAATAAGGCACTGATTTGTCTGTGACTGATGAGGTTCAGCTCCTGGAAATCAAACCATCAAAATGGAATTTGATCATTTAGATCAATCCCCCTCCTGTTACCTTCTTGCTATTCTCTGTGCCTATTTAGTGGCACATGAGAGACGCACACAGGGCCTGAAGCATTCTAAGTGCAAAGTGAGTGTCAGCCACTTAAGTTAAGCCCCTTCAGGTGCCCTCATTCTGTCCTGATGCCGAGACCCTGTTCACTCTCAATGGGTGGATTCAGAGCTCTCAGTTCCTGACCGTTACCTGTGCTGGGAAAGGACTTCACTGCCCAAGGCGTGGCCCTGCCCTGGAAGGGGAGCTCCACACTGTATGAGCAGGAGCCTCAGGGCATCACTAACCCATGCCTGTCATGGTGGGTAGCGGCCCTTGCTGAATTAAAGTAGTTGTGGCCAATAAAGACATCCAAATTCCCTTTCAGCAAAATGCTGACATTATGTAGGCATATAATACCTGTAACATCAATGAAAGACCTTTTCTTAACTCCTCCTTTTTCTCCCTGTGAAGGAAGACTAGTGCATGGTAGTAGGAATCACACATCCTTAGAGGGTGGATAATGATCAAGTGCCTGTGGGTAATTAATGACCACACCTGTGCTGAAGGACCCTACACAAAGGGCACCTAAGTGTAGAACCCTGCCGAGGACTCAGGGGCTGGTGCTATTGGGCACGAAACAGCCAAGAGGCTCAGCTTCCCTGTAAAATGAAGATGATGATGCCACCACCCTATGAGACTATCGTAGGACCCAATGAGATGGTGTATGGTCAGGACTTGGAATGGGGCGTGGCATACAGTAAGAGCTCAATACATGCATCTTGTTCTTTTTTTTTTTCCCCCTCCTAATAGAAGTCCCAGCATTCTTCACCCTTCAATCTCACCTTCTATTCCTGATAATAGGGAGGCAGCAGAAACCCACGGCAGGCAATGGGACTCAACTTCTACACACCACCACCACTTAATCGTGATTCCCCCAAACAGCAGAGCCTCAGCAGCCAGCAGAGGTTGGGATGGGTGGGGCAGGACTGAGTTCATCTCTAGTGATCATGAGATAAAAATTTCCAACCCATGAGACTCATGTGCCATCTGCTGGTTGGTCAGACCATCTGGTGTAATTTATTGATGCAAACAGGATGATATTGAGTGGTATCTCCAAAAATCTGCTGTTATGTAAGTGTTTATAGAGAATAAATATTGTGATTCATATATAATTTTATACATATTGAATACATATTTTTACATAAATTTACGTACATAATTTTATACATATTGAATATATATAATTTTATACATATTGAATATATGTATATTGAAATTTTAAATTATAATGGGAATTTAGTATTTTAAAGTATGTAGTGCAATATTTTAAAAAGGTTTGTAGGCTGGGCACAGTGGCTCACGACTGTAATCCCAGCACTTTGGGAGGCCGAGATGGGTGGATCACGAGGTCAGGAGATGGAGACCATCCTGGCTAACATGATGAAACCCCGTCTCTACTAAAAATACAACAAATTAGCCGGGCATGGTGACAGGCACCTGTAGTCCCAGCTACTCAGAAAGCTGGGGTAGCAGAATGGCATGAACCCAGGAGGCAGAGCTTGCAGTGAGCCGAGAGCGTGCCACTGCACCCCAGCCTGGGGGACAGAGTGAGATCCGTCTCAAAAAAAAAGAAAATGTTTGTGTTGGCCTGGGCAGCACGTATACTAAAGTTGGAATGACACAGAGAAGATTAGCATGGCCCCTGCGCAAGGATGATGTGCAAATTCGTGACAAGTTCCATATTTTTCAGGAAACAACAGATGCTGGAGAGAATGTGGAGAAATTAGGCATGCTTTGACAGTGTTGGTGGGAGTGTAAATTAGTTCTAGCATTGTGGAAGACAGTGTGGTGATTCCTCAAGGATCTAGAACTGGAAATATCATTTGACCCAGCAATCCCATTACTGGGTATATACCCAAAGGATTATAAATCATTCTACTATAAAGACAAATGCACACGTATGTTTAGTGTGGCACTGTTCTTAATAGCAAAGACTTGGAAACAAACCAAAAGCTCTTCAGTGATAGACTAGATAAAGAAAATATGGCACATATACACCATTCAATACTATGCAGCCATAAAAAATGATGAGTTCAGGTCATTTTCAGGGACATGGATGAAGCTGGAAATCATCATTCTCAGCAAACTAACACAGGAACAGAAAAGCAAATACCACATGTTTTCAGTCATAAGTGGGAGTTGAACAATGCGAACACATGGATACAGGGAACATCACACACTGGGGCCTGTTGGGGGGTAGGGATGGTGGGGGAGGGTTAGCATTAGGATAAATACCTAGTGTAGATGATGGCTTGATATGTGCAGCAAACCACCATGGCATATGTATCCCTATGTAACAAACCTGCACGTTCTGCACATGTGTCCCAGAACTTGAAGTATATTTAGAAAATGCTTAATGTGGTGTTGAGTCTCAAATAAAATGACACCTTCAAAACTGATTTTGAAGATCAATGAATAAGAATTGCTCTTATTTAAAAATATTTAAGTTTATACAATTTTGGAGCTGGAAGGAAGTGCAATATTTTTAGGGATATATGATTTATTTTCTTAGAGCAGTTATAAGGTTGCAGTGAAGTTGAGCAGAAAGTGGATCATTCCCACATACTTCATGACCCCACTCTAGCGCGGACTCCTAAAGGATCAACGTCCTGCCCCAGCGTGGTCCATTTGCTCCAATGCATGAACCACACGAACCATCCTTATCACCCAAAGTTCATAATTAACATTAAGGGTTCACATCTGGTGCTGTATATTCTATGAGTTCTGATGAATTGAGGATGACATGTATTCACCCTTATAGCATCATGCAGAGTAGCTTCAGTGCCCTAAAAAAATCACCTGTTCTCTTTCTATCCATCCCACTCTACCCTGACTCCTTGCAACCCCTGGGCTTTCTACTGTGTCCATAGATTTGCCTTTTCCAGAATGTCATGTGGCCTTTTCATGTTGGCTTCTTTCACTTGGTTATGTGCATTTAAGTTTTTTTTATGTCTTTTAGGGCTTAATAATTTACACTGTCAGGATGTGCTACAGTTTATTCATCCATTTATCTGCTGAAGAATATATTGGTCCCTATTAAGTTTTGTCTATTATGAATGTAGTGGTTAAAAACATCCAGGTTTTAGGTTTTCTCATTTGGGTAAATGCCAAGGAGCGTGGCTGCTGGACCATGTGCCTAGGTTGTGTTTGATAATGATTTTTTCCTTGACAATCTCATGTAGACAGAGACTGCTTCTTCAAGGGCAGGGACTGTGTCTCTGTCACCCTGTGGTCCCACAGCAGAGCATGGAACCTGGCAGGTGGCTGTAAATGCTTATTGATCACATAGTGCTCAGAAATCACTTTATAGCCACTACAATGCAAATGTCGGGCAGTCAACATGAGCTGCCACCAATAATATAAACACGTTGAATATGGATGAAGTCACCCTCCTTTTGCCGGGGTCACTACCTGTGTGTCACGGCAGTGCCGTCATCACATGGATGAACTTCATCTGTTTTTTATAGATTTCCCCCCATGTAATACAGGACACAGTCTTTAAACAAAGAGTCACCGGAGTTCCTGATGGCCACTGGTCTGAGTCTGTCCCTTTGGAACTAAGGGCCCTCATAACTGCACTTACCTACCACAGGCGTCCCTGTAAGCACCACTAGAGGGCGAGCATCTTCACCAAACCTGATGGACCCAAGAAGTCTGACCTGAATGTCTCCCTGCTAGGCAGGGGTCCTCAGAGGAATCTTCTATCCAGTCCAGATGGAGGGAACTGGAAGAGTCTCCTCAAACCCAGGACCAACAAAGAGATTCCCTCCAAGATCCCAATTAGGGAGCCAGGACAGGGACTGAGAGGGAACAGGGAAGGGAAGGCACCATGGGTCCCAAAACCTGGAACTGATGGAGAAGGTCCCCTCCAGAAACTGTTTGGAGAGAACCAGCTGGGAAGAATTAAAGTCTCTGAGATCTTCCACCTAAGAGCTGGACATCTGAATTCAGGAAGACTTACCCGAGGCCTTCCCATGGCGCAATCGAGAAGAGCTCACGGGACTCTTGCCAGTGCAGGATGCATTGGTTCTGGAGGCATCAGGAAGAGATCGGAGGTCCCCTTTGAATCCCACTTCTAACACCAGTGAGGTCCACTAAAAATTATGGGGTCTATAGATTTAGAAAAAAGGAGCGTAATTTCTTCTAAAGGTTTACAACCTGCTCGCTGGGAAATGGGCCTCCAGGCAGGACCTGAGGCAAGCGCTTGGAGGGAGGGAAAGTGACCCAGGAATCTATGCTGAACCTGTTGGCCACCAAGTGTGCATATTCAGCAGGTCATTGGAGCAGCTATGAAAATTCACAGGGTGGGGGATGCATGCATGTATGGTAAGCAAATATACATGTCACATACATCCCAGGTTCACCTGGTGGTTGAGGCTTTACATTTAAATGCATTATAATTAGGTTCTCTGCATCCAAAGGAGAAGTTGGGACATGAAGGTCCGCAATTCCTAACTAAAGGGCCTGGGGAGTCACCTTCTACAAATCACAAAGTCCCCTCAGAGGGGGTTTATTTAACCCTATATAAAGTGGCTTAAGGCTGAGTGCAGTGGTTCACGCCTGTAATCCCAGCACTTTGGGAGGCCAAGGTGGGCAGATCACTTGAGGTCAGAAGTTGGAGACCAGCCTGACCAACTTGGAGAAACACCATCTCCACTAAAAATACAAAATTACCTGGGCATGGTGGTATATGTCTGTAATCCCAGCTACTCGGGAGGCTGAAGCAGGAGAATCGCTTGAACGCAGGAGACGGAGGTTGCGGTGAGCTGAGATCACACCATTGCACTGCAACCGGGGCAACAAGAGCAAAACTCGGTCTCAAAATCCATAAATAAATAAATAAATAAATAAATACATACATACATACAATAAAGCGGCTTGTTTTCCAGCCTGACTCAGGGTAGCCCAGAGTCTTCTGATGGTGCTGGTGAGGAAGCTCAAGGAGGCTTTGGCCATTGTCCAGATCCTCAGAGAAAGGACTGCTCACCATACAGGGTCCACTGTGGGAACAGAAACCTGCTTTTTCCCAGTGGAAGGTAAAGGGACTAGAAGTGGGGAGCAGTATGAATCAAAAGAGAAAACGGACTGAGAAAAGTCAGAGAGAGAACAGGGAGCAATGAGAATGAAAGCAAAAGTCAGGGATGGGTCCTTCTAAATTCTGAGCTTCTCCCTTACTTTACCTATAGGAGGTGGAAACTTCAAGTGCTGGACTTGCTGGATGTTGATGAGAATGTCTGGGCTGGATGGCCTGGAGGCTAGGCCCTGTCCTCCTCCCCAGAGGCCATGAGTAAGAGGCAGACAGCAGAGGACTATCCAAGGATGGGAGAGCACCAGCCCTTAAAGGTGTTCATAGACGTCTGCCTCAAGGAAACACCCCAAGATGAATGCCTGAGATACCTCTTCCAGTGGGTTTACCAAAGGAGAGTTTTAGTACACCTGTGCTGTAGTAAGTTGGTGAATTATCTAACACCCATTAAATATCTTAGAAAGTCATTGAAAATAGTCCACCTGAATAGTATTCAGGAGTTGGAAATTCACAACATGTCCTGGCTGCATCTGATAAGAAAGCTTCATTGTTACCTGAAGGAGATGAAGAATCTTCGCAAACTCGTTTTCTCCAGGTGCCATCATTACTCTTCGGACAATGACCTCGAGGAATGGTTACTCACCAAATTCAGCCTGTGTTCCTCAGGCTGGAACACCTCCAATTGCTTAAAGTAAAATTGATCACCTTCTTCAGTGGGCACCTGGAACAGCTGATCAGGTGAGAAAGGATCGTGCACTTTCTCTGAAGACCACAGCACAGCCTTTTTTTGTTACAGCAAACGCTAGAAGGCATAACTTTTGTGTCAGCCAGTGGTGACATCACAGTGAAGGGGACACCAGAATATCAACACATTGTCCCATTCAGTGCTCCATGTTCCGGAGTGGCTATCACAGGATCTCTGCAATGAGGGCAGCGGGGTCACCTGGGGTAGAGGCTAGAGAGCTACATCATGTACAAGCCAGGTAGTGGGGGTTTCAGCTCTACTGGGGGGTGCATATGTGAATTTCTTGTTACAAAGTGTGTTTCAAGTTGATATGATAGGAAAGAGGTAATAGAGGAGGGTATGAAAGGAGGGACAGCGCATCAAACCTGTGCATTTCACAGTAGAAACTCTGTCCTCACCAGCTTAGTGATCACAAATGATCCTGTCTCTATTCCCTGTCTGTAAAAGGTTGTTTTGAACCCCAGGAAAGGTAACTGACATGGGAAATGTGTGCTTCTTGAATGGAGGCTGAGGGAGTAGGCGTGAGAGTGGTAAAAAGTGATAGGTGGTTTGCAGATGCAGGCACGTCAGGGAGCCCCTGCCAGTAGGTAGCCCTAGCTGATGACCCTAGACCTTGCTCAGTTGAGTTCTTCATGCACATCTCCCACCGGGTACCTGTGGCCCAGAGATGAAGTTTTCTGCTAAAAGATGAAGAAAAGAGGCTTTAGTGATGTGATTTTGTGGCCTTGAACCAATCACACAAGCAATGGTGAAAGGATTGAGGCTAAACTAGGACTGCCCCTGAATGATCAGAGTCCTCATCACAGAGCAACTTGCATGTGGACCATCATCACATGATGGGAATAAACTTGTGTTTGGGTGAAGCAGACATTTCCCTTTCAGTTATTCCCCACCACCTTCATCTAACTGGTATCACTGCCCAGAACTAACTTCTTGATCTCCACAGGTGCCTCCAGAACCCCTTGGAGAACTTGGAGTTAACTTGTGGCTACCTATTGGAAGAGGACATGAAGTGTCTGTCTCAGTACCCAAGCCTCAGCTACCTAAAGCATCTGAATCTCAGCTACGTGCTGCTGTTCCGCATCAGTCTTGAACCCCTCGGAGCTCTGCTAGAGAAAATTGCTGCCACTCTCAAGACCCTCATCTTCGAGGGCTGTCAGATCCACTACTGCCAACTCAGCGCCATCCTGCCTGGCCTGAGCCGCTGCTCCCAGCTCACCACCTTCTACTTTGGCAGAAATTGCATGTCTACGGACACCCTGAAGGACCTGCTGCGCCACACCAGTGGGCTGAGCAAGTTAAGCCTGGAGACGTATCCTGCCCCTGAGGAGAGTTTGAATTCCTTGGTTCGTGTCGATTGGGAGATCTTCGCCCCACTTCGGGCTGAGCTGATGTGTACACTGAGGGAAGTCAGGCAGCCCAAGAGGATCTTCACTGGTCCCACTCCCTGCCCTTCCTGTGGCTCATCACCGTCTGAGGAACTGGAGCTCCATCTTTGCTGCTAGGGAAGGCGTGCCTAGTGGGGTTGATAAATCCAAAGTTCTCTTCCAGGCACTTGGACACTAAAATCTAGTATGTAAGTGCAAGTTATGTTTGTTTTTTCTTATTTCCTTTTTTAATAATTCTAAAATTTTATTAAAGAACATTTGAGACAGGGTTTCGCTGTGTTGCCCCAGCTGGTCTGAAACTGCTGGGCACATGGGATTCTCCTGCCTTGGCCTCCTAAAGTGCCAGGATTACTGGCATGAGTGATTGTGACCAGGCCACATGCAACTTACAGGAAGCACAGAATTCTTTGCTTCAGGCAGGTGCTCAGTATGAGGGAAAAAAGATAACAGCAGGGGGCAAGACTGGAGGAAAATGTGGAGGTGGAGTCAATGAGACCTTACGGGACCCATGTCCTACAGAGTCAGAAAGAGAAGCTAAAGTTCTACAGTGATGAGAATGTTATCCCTGCAGGGACGGTTACCAAGAAATATCAGAAATAACCTCAATGAAAACTTTCTGGTGTCCTCTGTATTTGATTGACTTGTTTTAGCGATTTATACATCAGAAATCTCTAGTTATTGAGTTACTGATGGAAAAGTATCAAAGTACTCTGTTGTCTGTGATTGAGATTCAGCTGCAAAACATCTAATTCCCACCCATTCTTTTTCTTTGCTTTTTTTTAAAAAAAAAAAAAAAAAAAAAAAAAAAAAGACAACATCTTGCTTTGTCACCCAGGCTGCAGTGCAGTGGTCCCGTCTGGGCTCACTGCAATCCTACCCTTCGGGGCTCAAGTGATTCTCATGCCTCAGCCACTCTAGTAGGTGGAATTGCATGCAAGTGCCACCAAGCCTGCTAGTTTTTGTATTTTTAGTAGAGACGCGGTTTTTCCATGTTGACCAGGCTGGTCTTGAGCTCCTGGCTTCAGTGATCTGCTGACCTTGGCCTCCCAATGTGCTGGGATTACGGGTGTGCCAATGATCTCCACCCATTCTTTACTTCTCTTCAGTCATCTGTTTTTTCCTTACATTTTCGCCTGCAAGGAGCAGCTCAGTCAGGCACAAAGGGACGGGCAGAGAGGGGCCCCGAGGAGAAGATGGGCTTGAGGTGGTAGGCAGAGCTGGGATCAAGCTACAGGGGCCTTTGTTGGGAAGCAGAAATGGCACCTAGTTCAATGACCTGGCCAGCTATGGGGCCACTGTGCCCACCCTGCTAACAGTGCCAAGTTCCTGGGTGTCGAAGGGAGGTTCTGTGCTAATCCTCCTGGGGCTGCATTTCCAAGATCTGCCCCCCACAGGGGTGACCACAGAGACTGACGTTCCTAATTGCTGGGTCTGGGGACCACGGTCCACTCCTGGAGGCACCCCACCTTGGCAGGGTTGTGAGCCAGGCCTCTGCCCCGTGTTCCTGAGGCAGACAGCTGTGCCACCCACACCCTCTCATGGCTTAATGAGACCCGCTCCCGGGTCTGGAGCCTCTACAAAGCCTCAAACTCACTCCTCACGGCCTGCTGTTAGCCTGCAATATTCTTAACTAGAGTGCAGTTGGGGCTCATTCAACCAGACCCAGAAGCATTGGGTTTGTTTTTGCAGGGTTGGCCAGAGCTGCTGTGAACCTGCATCTCACCTGTCACCTCTGTGGAGAAACACAGAGAGAGGGCATAACTGAGGCTACATACACTTTGAACCTGATGGGATCCTGGGACAAGAGGGAGTCCTGGCCCTCCCGAGTTGGCAGGACAGTAGCTCCAAAGGCACAACTGAAGCTGCCCAGGTCGCAGTTCCAACCAAGGTCCCCCAGTGCTCTTGAGGGCTCAGGAGGTCTCCCCTTCTCCTGCAGCATGGGGGTGTCTGCTCCCACTGTGTGGTCCCTCCTGGCACCTGCTGTAATTTTGGAGCGGAGTTGGGGTCAAGCATGTATGCTGTGGCAGCCCAGATGAGCGTGTGCATGCTCAGGTTCGTGCTGATGCACCGTCTGCCTGCTGTCTTGAACACTCTGGGCTTTGGGCCCTGATGAGCATGGGAGGGAGGCTGAGAGGGGGCTGAGGACAGATCAGTGCTGGCCTTTGGATGCTCCTTGATGCAAGTGACCTGGGCGCCATGGGTGGTGGTGGGAGGCAGACAGACTCCTGGATGGGAAGACGAGGGTACCTGGTGAGGCTCTACCTTGTGACCAAGGGGGGCCTGAAGCCCGTGGGCTGGTCCACCAGTGCTATGGACCAGAGTGGGAATATGTGGTGCCTTTTCTGTGCCTGCCAATGGCTACCTATGACCCAAGCAGCACATACTTCCTTCCCCATGATGCCCCAACAGCCCCAGACTCAGGGAAAACATCAGGATGAACAGTGGCAGAGTGAAACTACCCACTCTTGGGATGATTTTCCTGCAGACAAGCAATCCACTCTGGGGCCTTTTCTCTACTGAGAGCTGTGGAGATGATGAGATGACTTTCCTGGAAAGAGCAGCAGACACCACTGTGTACTCCAGGGACAAACATGGAAGCTGCTTTTGCTGTGCCTGGTTCATTTGCAGCCTTGCAAAAATCTGGCACCTGTGCTGGCACCTGGAGCTGCCTGCCCCACTGCTGCGGGAGCCAGTGACTGTCCAAAGTGACCAGACCCCCTGCTCACTCACACACCCCTCACTGCTCCAGTCCTGACCCTCCCTTAATAGGCATGTGATCCAGGCCTGAAGCATGAGCCAAGCATAGTCTACCAGTCTGAGTGGGCAGAACAAACCCAGTGAACCCCATCAAAACTCCGGCAAAGGTGCCCCCAGCCATAGAGGCTTCTGGCCAGAAAAGTCACATCCCAAGGATTTCATAAGGGAAAATTACTTAAACACAAAGAAAGACAATAAGAAAGGAAGGATGGAAGAGAGAAGTCTCTAACCAACCAGAAAACAAGAAATTAAATGGGAGTACTAAGCCTTTATCAATAACAACAATGAAGACAATATATCTCAGTTCTGCAAGTGAAAGTCTTAGGGTCGTTGAATGAGTAAAAGAATAAGACCATACTATATGCTGTTTTCCAGAAACTCACTTCACCTATAAGGACACATGTAGTCTGAAAGTGAAGGGGTAGAAAAAGATATTCCATGCAACACACCTGTGTTTCCAGCTAACTGGCAGACTGACATGGGAGGATCATTTCAGCCTGAGAGGCCGAGGCTGCACTGAGCCGAGATTGCACCACTGCACGCCAGCCTTAGAAACAGAGTAAGGCTCTGTCTTTCAAAAGAAGAAGAAAGAAAAGAAAAGCAAAGAAGATGTCTCTTCACATTTTATGCTGCACAGGCATTTTTTTTCTGATCTGCACTGCACTGCCAAGCCAGGTGTATTCTGTTGAGCTCACTTTGCAGCTGCCTTGCTTCTTGTTTATCCTAAGTAGCACCCAGAATAGTAGGTGGCACATTGCAGGCACTCATTCAAAGGTTTTTTTTTTTTGTTTCACATTTTTTTGTCTGTTTGTTTTGTTTGTTTGTTTGTTTTTGAGACAGAGTTTCACTCTTGTTGCCCACCCAGGCTGGAGTGCAATGGCGTGATCTCAGCTCACTGCAACCTCTGCTTCCCGGGTTCAAGCAATTCTCCTGCCACCACACCCGACCAATAGGAAGGGGAGGCACTGGATGTTAATAGTGTCAAATGTGCCAAAATCTTCTCTGTGGTTTTTCCCCAGAGTCTCCCCCTCCAGGGCCACCTGAAAATCCTCAGCCCTGGACAATGCAAGATTTTTTTTGACTGAGGATCACTGTGCTCCTTCTAGATCCATCAGAAAGTGCCAGGCAGTCTGATAGGTCCTGGTTTGACTTACATCTAGCAAGACCTTCACCTGGTTGGCAGGAGTAGATATGGGGGTCACTTGGATGACAGGGACTCCAGTCCAGACCCCATTCTACCTCATTCCCTCCTGCAAAGTTCAATCCTCACAGTCCTATGAGGCTGTGGCAAGTGCAGAGACAGAACTGCACCATATCCAACGTGCCTCCCTTCCCCTGGCCTCACACCAAGTCTCCCTCCCTCTGACATGTCCCTTGTCTTTGCATCCAGGGTGGATGTTTGCCATTGACTCTCTCTCCCCATGTCTCCCTGCTAGACTGACTCTTTGCCCCTGGGGTGAGATGGGGCAGCCACTGGAACCTCATGTAGACCAGGGTGAAATCAAAGGGCCTTAGAAACTCACAGCTCCACATCCAGGCACAGGTCCTTTGAGGATCTCAGACACAAGTCCACAGCTTATCAGGGACGCGGCTCTGTGAAAGCCAAATAACCCGGCCCCCTACCCTGCTGCCATCTCTCTCCTCTGTACTTACTCTGGCCCACATCAGCTCCTCTGGGCCACTCCCTTTCTGGGCCCTGTTCTTTTCCTTAGTCCTCCTGGCTCCATCCAGCCTGCAGCGAGTTCCCAGACCTCCCCCACCCCAGGCTGCCACAAGCACCTTCTTAGGCATCTACTCTGCTTTCAGAGTGAGCTTCTCCTCAGATCTTTATTGGGGAAAAAAGGAGGGGCAGCCCCTGATCTTGGAAAAGACGGTCACAAATGCGACCTGGAATGAGATCCTGTTGAGGACTAAAGAAGTCCAGCAGGGCCTGAACAGTGATTTCTACTGTTAGAAACATGGAGAGGGCAAACACCATGGGCAAAGAAAGCCCTGACTCAGAAACAGACTCACTGCATTCCAGGTGCAGCCTCGTCAGCTCTAAGACTGGGCAAGGGGATCCTAGAAGGGATGGCCCCCTGCACTGGGACCTGTCCCAGGCTCTGCCAACAGCCTGGCACTTCTAGGAAAACCAGAGGAGTCAGCTCTTCCTGTGGAAGGCAGACAAACTTCCCCTCCATTGGTCCTGGGTGCCTCTTTAGGTCCGGAAGAGCAGCTGAGGAGCTCCCTGCTTTGTGCCTTGCTATGTGCACCCAAAAAGCTCAGTAGAATTTGGGGAGAATGTATGAGTCACTGCTGATTCCAGGGAGAGTGTCTCTTAGCATTGTTTGTGGCCATAGTCCTCGGTGCAGGAGAGATCGGCTGACATTTCCAGGAAGCAGAGGATTCAGCTTCTCTCACAGCTCAGGCTGGGGGAGGAAAACAGAAATTCAGAAATATTTTAGAGACCCCCATCAAAAGCCTGGAGAAGCTTTGGAATCCCAGTAGAAATTCTGTGAGTGGAATTGAAGTCAGGCCGTCCCTTCAGATGGGCTCTGAAAGCTACTCTGACCTGGACAGCAGAGGAGCACCTTCAGAAGCACAGGCAACCAGAACATGGTAGAAAGACCCCCGAAACTGCAGGATTCTCACTGGGGTCCTGAGGATGGTGCAGGATTCCCCCAAGAGGTTCATTTTTCTCCCAAATTCTTCAGATACACAGCTTGCACCATTCATGCTTCCAGATTGAAAAGTCTCCCTCCTTATGTCTGACCACACTGCTCCTCTCTGGGCTCTGCCCCAGCTCACACACTCAGATTCACTCTTCCCAAGCTGGTATTCTGAGGGAAGCCCATCCTGTTTGTGAGTAATGATGCTTCACCTTCCAGTAGGAGTCAAGATTGTGTCTGCCCTCTCTGCCCTCAAAGACACTGTGATGTTTTACGAGTCTGCATTATCTCTTTTGTAATTAGGTTTTTTTAATTTTTAAACTCAATGTAGAAGGAAGTCTTTCAATCCTTTTGTCTAGATGCCCACAAAATACCTGCCATGTTTTATGTTGTCTTGGTTCCCTCCTAGGGTCCCATTAGAACAGTCAGTACTGTCCAGCCCAACCTCCACCTCACTTTGTAATTTAGGCCTGATTTCTTTCAGTGATGCCTTGACCTTAACCTTGAGATAAATTACACCCTCAGTAGTTCCTGTCTTCCACCTGAATGGGCATATGATCTACCATGTTAGGTAGCGCAAAACCCAGGTGACCAGTGGATACACTGAGATTTTTATTGTGTTTTTAGGGATGACATCACTGTCTTCTTAAAGCTGTTTTAACTCTGAAAAGTTTTGATACTTTTGATGTGGCCAAAGGTTCTCCAATAAAGATACCATATATAAATATATGTATTTCTAATGTCTGAAACAGATTAAAACCTTCCCTGTATCACTATGAAGGTCACATATTGGTAAAACTTTACCAATATTTATGGAATAAGTGAATAAATGAGTTTTAGTCCTTCACCCTATTATTAATTCTTTCACTTTCATAAATCCATATCTAATTTAATCACTTAATAAGAAGAAAGTTGAAAACTCAATCACCGTTAACTGGGTGGAAGTTCAGGATCCAGTTGGATGTCATTTTTGGATTGGAAGTTGGTAATTGAGAAGGGGGTTGTGGTGAGAAAAGTCAATAAAACTCCTGAAGATGCACAGAAGAGACCCAAAGCCCTGGCTCCTGGAGCTACTGCTTGATTCTCAGAGAGGTCCCAGCACCCTGCAAAGTGAGTCCAGATCTGGCAAGTCACCACTTATTAGGGATGTGCCCGTTTGATCTGATGTTCTGTATAGCATGTCACACAAAAGTCTGGAAGACACTAGCACATACACTGTGAAGAGAAGTCTCAAAAAAAGGGAAGGTTATAGAAGACACTTGCTCTGTGTTTTTGGAATGTTTTGCATTGAGAATTCTGTCCAGAGAAGGGAAAAAGAATGAAAAACAAAGGAAGCTCACCCAAATGTACCTCTATGTACCTTTTACCATGCTGGACTTTCTTTTGTTTTGTTTTCTTTTCTCTCTCTCTCTTTTTTTTTTTTTTTTTTTTTTTGATATGGCATCTCGCTCTGTTGCCCAGGCTGGAGTGCAGTGGCATGATCTTTGATCACTGTAACCTCCACCTCCTGGGTTCAAGCAATTCTCCTCCCTCGGCCTCCCCAGTAGTTGGGATGATACTTGCCACCACGCCCAGTTAATTTTTGTATTTGTTTTTATTATACTTTAAGTTTTAGGGTACATGTGCACAATGTGCAGGTTAGTTACACATGTATACATGTGCCATGTTGGTGTGCTGCACCCAGTAACTTGTCATTTAACATTAGGTATATCTCCAAATGCTATCCCTCCCCACTCCCCACACAACAGGCCCCAGTGTGTGATGTTCCTCTTCCTGTGTCCATGTGTTCTCATTGTTCAATTCCCATCCTATCACAAGGACAAAAAAACAAACACCGCATGTTCTCACTCATAGGTGGGAATTTTTGTGTTTTTAATAGATACAGAGTTTCACCGTGTTGCCCAGACTGGTCTCGAACTCCTGACCTGAAGTGATCCATGCGCCTCAGTCTCCCAAAGTGCTGGGATTACAGACGTGAGCCACCACACCGGGCCAATTGCTGGACTCTCATGTCACACATGGATATGGTATCACAAAGGCAATTTTTTCCATAATCCAATGTATTTATATTATTGGTAGTGAGCTAATGTTGACGTCCCTAAGTTAGCAATTCAGTGGCTATACCCATGACAAACGTTTCCATGCATCACGTGGTCAACAGCATTTGCTCCTGGGTTCAAGAGATTCTCTTGCCTCAGCCTCCTGACTATCTGGGATTACAGGGGCCCGTCACCACACCAGGCTAATTTTTTGTATTTTTAGTAGGGACGGGTTTTTACCACATTGGCCAGGCTGCTCTCAAATTCCTGACCTCGTGATCTGCCTGCCTCGGCCTCCCAAAGTGCTGGGATTACAGGCGTGAGCCACCACGCCTGGCCATTAACCATTCTTAAAATATCACATTGCATTCTTTAAAAGTTTTATATCTTTCATATACATAAATTACAACACAAATATTTATACTCAACTAGTATTCACATTATAGTAAATTTTCTTTTCTTGCTCTGTTGCCCAGGCTGGAGTGCAGTGGTGCGATCTCAGCTCACTGCAACCTTCGCCTCCCGGGTTCAAGTGATTGTCCTGCCTCAGTCTCCTGAATACCTGGGATTACAGGCGAATGCCACCACGCCCAGCAATTTTTTTTGTATTTTGAGTAGAGACGGGGTTTCACCATGTTGGCCAGGCTGGTCTCAAAATCCTGACCTGAAGTGATCTGCCCGCCTCAGCCTCCCAAAATGCTGGGATTACAGGTGTGAGACACCAAGCCTGGCCATGACAATGGCCTCAGCCTCCCAAAGTGCTGGGATTACAGACACGAGCCACCGCTCCTGGCTCATAATAGTAAATTTAAAAAAATACCATATAATATAATCCTTGCAACATTAAATTACACCATCTGATCTGATCTACCAGCAGATGGCACCCGAGACCTATGGATTGGACATTTTACTCTTCTTAGGAATGAATCCAGTCCAGAAATGCCCACCCTGCCCCCTGCTGGCTCCTGGGGCTCTGCTGTTTGGGGGAGTCATGATGAAGTTGTGGCAGAGGGTAGAAGATGAGCCCCATTGCATGCCCTGGGTTCTTGTTGCCTCCCTGTTATCAGGAATAGGAGGTGAGATAGATTGAAAGATGAAAATTGCTGGGACTTCTGCTGAGAAGAGAAAAAAGAACAAGATGTATTCATCTAACTGTATGCCAGTCCCCATGCCAAGCCCTAAACATGAACCATCTTATTGGATCCTTGCAGGGTCCTATAAGCCGTTGGACATCATCCTCATTTTACAGGGACCTGAGGCTCTTGGTTAAGATCCCTGACAGCAATACCAGCCCCTGAATCCTCAGCAGGATCCTTCACTTGGGTGCCCATTATGCAGGCTTCCTCAGCACAGGGAAGGTCACTCATCACCCACAGGCACTTGATTGTTATCCACCCTTTGATCATGTGAGATTCCAGAACACGCTGCACTGGTCTCTTCCTTGATAGGGAGAGAGGGGAGGTGTTATGAGAAAATCTCTCATCGATCTGACCTAGCTCCCTAATAAGAAGTAACTTTTTAAATGTCAGATGGAAATATTTAAAAAGTGTTACATACCTGTGTAGTTTTAGTATTTTACTTAAAGGGAATGTGGCTGTCTTTACTGGCTACAACCAGTTTAATTCAAGAAGGGCTGCTGGTCATCAGGAGAACAAGCAAGGGTTGGTGCTGCCCAGAGTCTCCAGCTAATACACAATATGGACATCCCCTTCCAGGGCAGCGGGAAGAGAGTGGCTCCTTGTGCAGTGAAGCTGACATCCACCAACTAAGGCTTCTGGAACCATGTGGAGACTCACAAGGAGTGGGCAGGGTCTCAGCATCTGGCTAGCAGTGAAAGACCCTGAGAAGAAGGTGCTTTCCACGTGGATTGGCTCACTGTTCTTGCCCAGTAATGTTCCAGACCCTTGGTTTCCACCTAGTGTGTATTAACCCACTGAACAGCCACAGAAACTAACAAGGAATTAACAGACATCTAAAGAAGTGAAGAACTGGAGGAGGCCAAGCCAATCGTGGTGGTCCACGCCTATACTCCCTGCATTTTGGGAGGCCAAGGCAGGAGAATCACAAGCTCAGGAGTTCCAGATCAGCCTGGGCAAGACAGCGAGACCTTGTCACCACTTAAAAAAACAAGCAAACAGGCATGGTTGCTCACACGCCTGTAGTCCTAGCTCCTCAGGAGGCTGAGGTGGGAGGATCGCTTGAACCCAGGAAATTGAGGCTGCAGTGAGCTATGATTGTGCCGCTGCACTCTAGCCTGAGTGACAGGAGACCTTTAAAAAACAAAAACAAAAACAAGCCTGACACAGTGGCTCACGCCTGTAATCCCAGCACTTTGGTAGGCCTACTTGCGTGGATCACCCAAAGTCAGGAGTTTGAGAACAGTCTGACCAACATAGTGAGGAAACCCTGTCGCTACTAAACATACACAAATTAGCTGGGCATGGTGGTGCATGCCTGTAATCTCAGCTACTTGGGAGGCTGAGGCAAGAGAATCATTTAAACCCCAGGTGGAGGTTGCAGTCAGCTGAGATGGCACCATTGCACTCTAAACTCCAACCTGGTCAACAAGAGTGAAACTCTGTCTCAAATAAAAGAATGGGAGGAAACTGATTACAATAACCAAATTTCATTTAAATGCCTTGATTTTCTTGGGTAGCATCTTATTGATTGGACAACTCAGTGCCTTTTGTTTTTTCCGTCAATAACTGAAGATTCCTGAGGCTTAAACTGGAAAACAGGTTACTTAATAATAGAGGGCACCAGACAGTTACCACTCAGTTTTCCTTTATTTCTGATTGTTTCTTTACAACCATGCATCCAAGAGTAACTCCCTCAAGTATTCTCAAGCCTCCACTCTAGACATTCAAATTCCCATTTTCCACTCTACAGGACACAGGTCCCCAAAGTCCCATCGAATCCATGGCAACACTTCCCCCAAGTCCTGCCCCTGCTTGATCACCTTTCCTTTCCCACTTTCAGAGCCCATGTGTGAAATGATGGGTTCTGTGCTCCCTATAGGATGTACCTAAGACCTAGGTTTTAGTTTCCAAGTGTCCAGAAGAAAGCGTTTGACATATCCACCCAAATAGGCAGGCATTCAACAGCAGCATTGATCTGCCTCCAGGTCATAAAATGACCTGTTGCCACAGTCAGGGCAGCAGTCAGTACAGAACAAGATCCTCTTGGGGTGCCTTAAGTCCCTCACTCTCTTCATCAGCTCAGCCCTAATTTGAGGAAATCTGCTCCAGCAGAGAGTACCATCAGCATCATAACTCTCCCGGGGGGCAGGATACAGCTCCACGCATAAGTTTTTGAGTATGATTGTGTGGCTCAGCAGGTTCTCCAGGGTGGCCATGGAGATGGGATTTCCACAGAAGCTGAAGGTGTTGAGCTCAAAGCAGCGGCTCAGGGCAGGCAGGATGGCGTTGACTTGGGAGTCTATGATGCCACAGTCATCTAAATCCAGGTACTCAAGGGTGGCTGCAACTTTTTCTAGGAGAATTTGGAGAGGCACAAGACTGTAATTGGTCAGTCTGATGCCACTCAGGTCCAGGGTCTTTAGTTGACTGATACTCGGGCACTGGGATAGATGCTTCAAGTCTGATTCCAAAAGCACACAGTTAGTTATTGTGAGGACCTTTAACGAGGTCTTCAGACAGCTGGGGAGAGAGAGCAAGAAGTTAATTCTGGGGAATCATAGGGGTGAGTGGAGGGTGGTGGGGAATGGCTTCAAGGTAATGGATGGAGACCATTTTGCCCAAGTCCAGGGTCATTCTGATGGCCTGATGGTCAACATTTAGGATGATGTGTGATGAAGAGCTTTGCCACCGAGGTCAATTCCACTTTAGGCCCGGCCCAGTAACTCACACCTGTAATCCCAGCACTTTGGGAGGCTGAGACTGGTGGATTCCTTGAGATCAGGAGTTTGAGACCAGCCTGCTGAACATGGCAAAACCTCCTCTCTACTAAAAATCCAAAAATTAGCCAGGTGTGGTGGCGGGAGCCTGCAATTCCAGCTACTTGGGAAGCTGAGGCAGAAGAATCGCTTGAACCCAGGAGGTGTAGGTTGCAGTGAGCAGAGATCATGCCACTACACTCCAGCCTGGGTGACAGAGAGAGACTCCGCATTAAAAAAAAAAGGAGAAAAAAATAATTCCATTTGAGGCTGAGTCACTTCACCATCATTTATAGGAATGGATCAAGTTCACAGAATCCCTAAAGCTCCCTTTCCTCATCTGTCAGGCAGAAAACCACATCCCTGGGCCACAGGAGCCCAGTGGAGATTCAGGCATAAAGGACAAACCCAGACAGGATCCTGCAACATCAGCTACGGTGGGCGGGCTGCAGGCGTCCCTGACAAGCCTGTATCATCAGCAAACCATCTATCACTTTCACCATTCTTTGTGCCTGCTCCCTGACCCTCTGTTTCAGAATCATGCATTTCCTAGGTAATTAATTTACCTGGAGCTCAAAAGAAACTTTTACAACACGGAATTAGAGATGGGATCATTCATGTTCACGAAACTGTGGGGCACAAAGCTGATTTTCTGACATGTGCAGGTTTGCTGAGCATTCCCCTCTTCAGTGCCCACTTCACTTCCCTACTTCACATCATCTTCTTAAAAATTATCTTGTTGGCTGGGCGTGGTAGCTCTCGCCTATAATCCCAGCACTTTGGGAGTCCAAGGTGGGTGGATCACCTGAAGTCAGGAGTTGGAGAATAGCCTGGCCAACATGGTGAAACCCTGTCTCTACTTAAAATATAAAAATTAGCCAGGTGTGGTGGCTCACGCCTGTAATCCCAGGCACTCAGGAGGCTGAGGCAGGAGAATCGCTTGAACCTGGGAGGCAGAAGTTGCTGCGAGCTGAGATGTCACAACTGCACTGTAGCCTGGACGATCAAAGTGAAACTCCATCTCAGAAAAGAAAGTTATCTTGTTTGTTTTTACTTTTATTTATTCATTTCTGACAGGGGTCTTGGTATGTTACCCAGACTGGTCTTAAACTCCTAGGCTCAAGCTATCCTCTTGCCTCAGACTCCCAAACTGCTAGGATTACAGGCATGAGCCACCGCCCCTGGCCTATTTTTCATCATCTTAACTTAGACACACATCCTCAGGAAGAATTCAGAAAGGCACCCTCACTAGATCTGAACCCCCCAGGAGCTAGCTTCCTAGCATGGCAGCCTCTCCATAGCATCTCCCCTAGCTGATCCCTCTGCCTCTATTGGGAGGGTTGCATGATACCCATTTCAGGACAGGGCCGCCAACAGGACAATGCATGGACATTCTAGTGTCCCCTTCACTGTTTCATCCTCATAGGCTGGCTCACAGTAGATGCCCACTAGCGTTTACTGTAACAGGCTCTGCTGTGGTCTGCAGAGAAAGCTCACCACCCTCCCTCACCTGAGCAGCTGGTCCAGGTGGCCTTCGAGGAAAGAAACAGAGTTCATAGAAAGCTTTTGGAGGCAGCACAGCTTGAGGAACTGAGTGGTGAACTGGGTAACAATCTCCTTCTTCTGCTCTGGGGAAACGTAGCGAGAGACATCCATGTGGGAGAGAACGAGCTTCTGAAGATTCCTCATGTGGCCCAGGTATGGGGTAAACTGTGTCAGGATGGGCAGTACCCACTTGCAATTCACTTCCACCTCCTGGATACAGTCTAGGTTCACCATTTTCAGGATGCTTCTGATATTGCGGAAGGGCATTCCCAAAATTTTCAGCTTCTTACAGCACAGGTGTAGTAAATCTTTCCTCTGCTTGACCCATAGAAGGAGGCAGGTGAGGTATTCATCCAGAGTCCTGTTCTTGAGCCAAAGTTCTACGAACACAGTCAAGGGCTGCTGTCCTCTCATCCTTGGACAGTCCTGCACTGGTTTTTTGTTCCTCTTGGCATTGAGGAAGCACCCATGGGCCATAGCTTCAGACCAAACCATCCAGAAGTTCTCACAGACATCCTGTAAATCCAGCACTTGAAGTTTCCACCTCCTGTGGGAAAATAGAGGTGAGAATGAGAATTTCAGAACTCATTTCTGAACTTAAACTCCACATCCTGGAGAGCAGCTCCTCCCCTCCCTGCTTCTTGTCCCTCTCTCTGACTTTTCTTCACCCTGTTTTCCCCTTGGATCCTGCCCACTTCCACATTTTTTTGTTTTTCTTTTGAGACCACGTCTCCCTCTGTCGCCCAGGCTGGAGTGCAGTGGTGTGATGTCACCTCACTGCAACCTCTGCTTCCCGGGTTCAAATGATTCTCCTGCCTCAACCTCACAAGTAGCTGGGATTACAGGAACCCACCACCATGCCCAGCTAATTTTTGTATTTTTAGTAGAGTTGGGGTTTACCATGTTGGACAGGCTGGCCTCCAACTCTTGGCCTCAGCCTCCCAATGTGCTGGGATTACATTGTGAGCCACCGTGCCCGGCCCAGTTCTCACTTTTCATGGTGCCTTTCAGTGCCATTAGAGGAGAGGTTCCTGTTACCTCCATGGACCTTGCGTGGTGAGCAGTGCTTTCCCTGAGGAGCTGGTGAATGGCCAAGTCCTCTCGGCTTCCTCACCACCACCATCCCCCTTGGGCCTCCTCACTTGTCATGACACAGCTCTTCCTTTGGTTGGATACCTGGGCCCTCCCCACCAGCCCACCTGGGCCACCTCACCTGGGATGAACCCCTTGGGTAAGCAGTGCATCCAGCCCATCGAGCACAGCTTGGAAGGCCTCCAGACAAGGCATCTTTATCAGAGGCCTCAGAGGGAGGCGGCGGAAGGGCCAGGCCTGCACCATCAGCTTCAGGGCCTCACAGCGTCTCCTGCTGAAGGCCTCCATGAACAGTGGGGGGAAAAGTTCTGTGGGCAGCTCCTCCAGGGTGGACATGGCCAAGGCTTGGTCCCTCAGCAGGCTCCGCCCTGCAAGCTCCAGGAGTCTGGGTGGAGTCCGGATGCTCATCTTCACGAATCTGCAGGGAAAACTTCCAGAGGACAAACCCAGAGAAAAGGCATCACTCTCAGGCCAAGCCCATGCAATCTTATCTTCTCCCAAGGCCAAAGTCACTGCTCTGGCAATGGTGAAACAGCCCTCAGTTTACTCCAATTCTGCCCTGTACTCAGTGGCCATTAAGCCAGCATTCTGCCTCTGCTGCATCAGCATGAGCGTCTCCGAAGCAGTGAGGAAGCAGGGCCACCACGAGCCCTTCCTTTCTATCCAGTGCTCCATCCAGTGACTAGTGAGTGTGGAGGAACCTGAAAGTGAACCCCTCCTACCATTGGGGGAAATTACTAATTACTCAAGGTTCTAAAACAATGGGAATGGGAATGTCACAAGCCTACATGCCCACATTTTCAGTTCCTACAAATAAGCTTGTTGGGAACATTCATGGGGCATCCCTAGAACAGGTTCTATTTGTTTTCTTTTCATTATTTAAGCTTGCTTTCTCTTTCTCTCTCTTTCTTCTTTCCTTCTTTCCCTCTCTCCCTCCCTTCTTTCTTTGTTTCCTCCTCTCTCTCCCTCTTTCTTTCTTTCCCCCTCTCTCTGCCTTCTTTCTTTCTTGTCTTCTTTCCCTGCATCCCTTCTCTCATTCTCTCTCTCTTTCTCTCTCTCCCTCTCTCACTCTTTCTGACAGGGTCTTGCTCTGTCACCCAGCCTGGAGTGTAGTGGTGGGATCTCAGCTCAGTGCAGCCTTGACCTCCCAGCTCAAAGGATTCTTCCTCCTCAGCCTCCCAAGTAGCTGGGACCACAGTTATGCATCACCACACCCAGCTCATCTTTTATTTTTTGACTTTTTGTAAAGACAGTGGATTTCGCTATGTTGTCCAAGCTGGTCTTGAACTCCTAGTCTCAAGCAATCTACCCCTGTTGGCCTCCCAACATACTGGGATTATAGGTGTGAGCCTCCACCCCTGCCTCATTATTGAAAATTTCAGTGAGAAGCTCTGAAAGCTATGTGACACTGTTATGCATTACTCACAAGATAGATGTTTCCAATGCACACCTCTTACACATATTCAAAGTGAACCACTTTGGCTGGGTGCAGTGACTCACACCTGTAATCTGAGCATTTTGTGAGGCCGAGGCAGGTGGATCATCTGAGATCAGGAGTTCAAGACGAGCCTGGCCAACATGGTAAAACCCTGCCTCTACTAAGACAGCAAAAATTAGCCAGGTGCAGTGGTCTGCGCCTGTAGTCCAAGCTACTAGGGAGGCTGAGGTAGGAGGATCGCTTGAATCCAGGAGGCAGAAGTTGCAGTGAGCTGACATTATACCACTCCACTCCAGCCTGGGAAATAGGCTAGATTGAACAGAGAGACAGAGAGAGCTACATTTGATTAGAATTCTTAATCTCTACCCAGTTAATCCTGATTGGATTTTTGCCTTTCTTAAATATTAACTGATCAAATTAGATATTCATTCATCAAAATGAAAGATTTAGGGATAGGGTGAAAGTCCAGGACTCATTCACTGATTCCCTTCACAAACATGGGGTTTTACTAATATGTGTCCTTCAAAGTCCTGAGTGTGAGACAGGGAAGGGTTGAACCTCTTCCTGATATTAGACAGAAAGAAAGAAAACTTGAAAGTATCTTTGTTGAGGGATCCTTGGCCATGCCAAGTTTATCAAAATATTTCAGGGTTAAAACAGTTTTCAGAGACAGAGATGACAGTCCCTAAGAAAACACAATAGAAATCTTCATATATCCAATGATCACCTAGGTGGCATAAGTCTTTTTGGTGTTGAGGGAGCTGAATCTCACTTCATCGGCCAGGCTAGAGTGCAGTGGTGTCATTTCGGCTCACTGTTGCCTCGGCCTCCAAGATTCAAGCAATTCTCATGCTTCAGCCTTCCACATAGCTGGGACTACAGGCATGCACCCCCTGCAGCCATGTCTCCATTTGGGTGGAAGAGGATGTGATTGGTTTAAAATTAAGGTCAAAGATCCTTTTTGATTGATTTTGTTTTTGTTTTTTGGACAGGGTGTCTCTCTTTTGCCCAGGCTGGAGTACAGGAGTGGTATGAGCATGGCTCACTGCAGCCTCAATCTTCTGGTCTCAAGTGATTCTCCCACACCAGACACCCAAATAGCTGGGACTACAGATGCATGTCACCATGCTCGGCTAATTTAAAAAAAAAAAAGTAGAGGCCAAGCACCAGTGACTCACAGCTGTAATCCCAGCACTTTGGAAGGCCAAGGCAGGTGGATCACTTGAGGTCAGGTGTTCGAGACCAACCTGGCCAGCATGGTGAAACCCCACCTCTACTAAAAATACAAAAATTAGCCAGGCATGGTTTCAGATGTCTGTGACACCAGCTTCTGAGGATGGAGACTGAGGCATGAGAATTGCTTGAACCCGGGAGGTAAAGGTTGCAGTGATTTGAGATCGTGCCACTGCACTCCAGTCTGGGCAACACAGTGAGACTCCATCCCCACCCTCAAAAAAAAAAAACGTTGTGTAGAGGAGGGCTTTTGTCATGTTGCCCAGGTTGGTCTCAAACCCCTGGGCTGAAATGATCCTCCCACTTTGGCCTCCCAAAGTGTTGGGGTTAAAGGCATGAGTTATTGCTCCCTTCAAGAATTTTAAAATGGCATCAACCAAAGCACAATCAACTTTTTTGAAATAAAGACAGAACTGCATTTAGAGGAAAACATTCAAAGCTTCAAATTGTTCATATGAAAAAAAAAAAGGACAGGATATAGCTCTGTGCCATCGTAGGCTGTACTGTCACCACCCCAGACCGACTGACTGTAGGTCAGATGGGAGTGTCCTTACAGAAATTAGTGACTTACCAGATCTGGATGTAGTCTAGAAGGTGCTCAGTCCTCAGGAAGAACCAAGCAGGAACTCTAGGCTTGAAGACTTTGGGTCTCTCCTGTGGGTCTTTAGAAGCTTTTATTGACCTTTCTAATCACAACTCCCACCCACGCCCCTGCACATATCCGCTGCTACCTTCCAATCAAAAAATGATATCTGATTGCATTTGTGAAGCTCCACCCAGTTAATCCTGATTGGGTTTTTGGCTCTCCCCAGATTACCGGATTGAATCAGATGTCCATTCATATCACATATCTATATTCACTTCATGAAGCAAGAAATCGACAGTGTTAGGGATAGGGTAGAAGTCAAGAATACATTCATTCAAGGCCAGACGAAGTGGCTCACACCTGTAATCCCAGCACTCTGGGACGCAGAGGTAGGTGGATTATCTGAGGTCAGGAGTTTGAGACAAGCCTGGCCAACATGGTAAAACCCTACCTCTACTAAAATTACAAAAATTAGCCAGTTGCGGTGGTCTGCGCCTATAGTCCAAGCTACTAGGGAGGCTGAGACAGGAAGATCGCTTGAACCCAGGAGGCAGAGGTTGCAGTGAGCTGACAATACACCACTGAACTCCAGCCTGGGAAATAGGCTAGATTCAAAAAAAAAAAAAAAAAAAAAAAAAAAAAAGAAAAAGAAAAAGGAGAGAGAGAGAGCTAGATTTGATTCGAATTTACCCAGTTAATCCTGATTGGATTTTTGGCTTTCTTCCAGATTTACTGATGGAATTAGATATTCACCCATCAAAGTGAAAGATTTAGGGATGGGGTGGAAGCCCAGGACTCATTCACTGATTCCCTTCACAAACAAAATGGGGTTTTATTAATATGTGTCCTTCACAGTCCTGAGTGTGAGATAGGGAAGGGTTGAATCTCTTCCTGATATTAGACAGAAAGAAAAAACTTGAAAGTATCTTTGTTGAGGGATCCTCGGCCACATCAAATTTATCAAAATATTTCAGAGTTAAAACAGTTTTCAAAGACAGAGTTGACAGTCCCCAAGAACACACAATAGAAATCTTCATGTATCCAATGATCACCTGGGTGGTATAATCTAATTTTTTTTGGTGTGGGGGAAGCTGAGTCTCACTTTGTCGCCCAGGCTGGAGTGCAGCGGCGCCATCTCAGCTCACTGTAACCTCCACCTCTGAGATTCAAGCAATTCTCATGCTTCAGCCTTCCACGTAGCTGGGATTACAGGCATGCACCCCCACACCCATGTCTCCATTCGAGTGGAAGAATTACAGTGAGGACGTGATTGGTTTAAAATTAAGGTCATAGATCCTTTTTGGTTAAGATATTGTTTTTGTTTTTTGGACAGGGTCTCTCTCTTTTGCCCAGGCTGGAGTACAGCAGTGGTGTGAGCATGGCTCACTGCAGCCTCAATCTTCTGGGCTCAAGTGATTCTCCCACACCAGCCACCCAAATAGCTGGGACTACAGATGCATGTCACCATGCTCGGCTAATTAAAATAAAAAAAAGTAGAGGCCAAGCACCAGTGACTCACAGCTGTAATCCCAGCACTTTGGGAGGCCAAGGCAGGTGGATCACTTGAGGTCAGGTGTTCGAGACCAACCTGGCCAGCATGGTGAAACCCCACCTCTACTAAAAATACAAAAATTAGCCAGGCATGGTTTCAGATGTCTGTGACACCAGCTTCTGAGGATGGAGACTGAGGCATGAGAATTGCTTGAACCCGGGAGGTAAAGGTTGCAGTGATTTGAGATCGTGCCACTGCACTCCAGTCTGGGCAACACAGTGAGACTCCATCCCCACCCTCAAAAAAAAAAAAACGTTGTGTAGAGGAGGGCTTTTGTCATGTTGCCCAGGTTGGTCTCAAACCCCTGGGCTGAAATGATCCTCCCACTTTGGCCTCCCAAAGTGTTGGGGTTAAAGACATGAGTCATTGCTCCCTTCACGAATTTTAAAATGGCATCAACCAAAGCACAATCAACTTTTTTGAAATAAAGACAGAACTGCATTTAGAGGAAAACATTCAAGCTTCAAATTGTTCATATGAAAAAAAAAAGGACAGGATATAGCTCTGTGCCATCGTAGGCTGCACTGTCACCATCCCAGACCGACTGACTGTAGGTCAGATGGGAGTGTCCTTACAGAAATTAGTGGCTTACCAGATCTGGATGTAGTCTAGAAGGTGCTCAGTCCTCAGGAAGAACCAAGCAGGAACTCCAGGCTTGAAGACTTTGGGTCTCTCCTGTGCGTCTTTAGAAGCTTTTATTGACCTTTCTAATCACAACTCCCACCCACGCCCCTGCACATATCCGCTGCTACCTTCCAATCAAAAAATGATATCTGATTGCATTTGTGAAGCTCCACCCAGTTAATCCTGATTGGGTTTTTGGCTCTCCCCAGATTACCGGATTGAATCAGATGTCCATTCATATCACATATCTATATTCACTTCATGAAGCAAGAAATCGACAGTGGTAGGGATAGGGTAGAAGTCAAGAATACATTCATTCAAGGGTGGGTGAGGTGGTTCATAGCTGTAATTCCAGCACTTTGGAAGGACAAGGTGAGTAGATCACCTGATGTCAGGGGTTCAAGACGAGCCAGGTCAAAAAGGTGAAACCCTGTCTCTACAAAAATACAAAAATACAAAAATTACCTGGGCATGATGGCAGGTGCCTGAAACCCAGCTACTTGGGAGGCTGAGGCAGGAGAATTGCTTGAACCCAGGAGGCAATGGTTGCAGTGAGCCAGAATTGTGCCACTGCACTCCAGTCTGGGTGACAGAGGGACATTCTGTCAAAAAATAAAAAAATCATTCATTCATGAACTCCACAAACACTGATGGTATTTTACTAATATGTGAACTTCATAGTCTTGAGTGACAGGCAGGGAAGGATTTGATCTGTTCCCAACATTAGACAGAAAAATAAAATCTGAAAGTAGTGTTGTTAGGAGATCTTTGGCCACATCAAAATATAAAAATGCTTTCTACTTTAAAAAGCTTTATAAAAACAGAGGAGTCGTCCCTAGGAAATCAGAATAAAAATCTCAATGTATTGAATGGTCTTCGGGATTTTGTATAACCTAAGGTAGCAGATTACATGCTCATTCTGGTGGAGGAGAGGTGCCACTGAGGGCGTGAGTGGTCTCAGGGCTTAGGTTAAGTCTTCTTTGGAAGAAATTGAAGCCACATCGATAAACTTTATAAATTTAATCAGTGAAGAAGGGAGGGAGAGAAACAAAAATAAACCAAGCTTGGAACACATTCAGCATTCATCAGGAGGTCTTCTTGCTCTCTGACCTGGTTCCTCATGGTTGCTGGCAACCTACTGTTCCAAAATCATATAGACCTTAGATTACAGTTCCCCTTAACTTCCCTGCAGACAACCATTTAAGCATTGTAAAACATTAACTTTTTCATCTGAGATATTCTTTCAGGTTCTGCATGTCAGTGAATCTACTGATGCCAGCTGATCTGAAGGGCCCTGCAATGCACCAACTCACCAAAGAATGCAGTTTCTACATCCTGTTGACTTCTTCCCTCTTACCGCTACCCCAACTTTCCGGCCCCTTGCTATCCAGGATCCACTGGAAACCCTCAGTACTCCTTGGGGAGATGAATTTGAGGATCTCCTCCTAGCTTCTCATTCAGCCACCTTGTGATCATTAAACTCTCTGCTGCAAACCCTGCTGTCTCAGAATATTGCTAAGCTACTGTGCAGCAGGCATAGGAACCTGATGGTCCTGTAATAAAGTCATGTCAAAATTACAAATGGAAGTGAGGGTGGAGCTGGTCAGGGTTGAGCTGGGTTTTTAATGGGAACCTGGGAGTGAACCAAGACTTGCTGAACATGTTGGGGGTTATCGAGTGGGTGTAAGAGGAATCTATCTAACATTGCACTGATGCGCTTTTGGTTTTAATCCTCATGACCAAGTATGAGTCTTTCAAAACAATTTGTATAATCCTCCTTATTTTTCCTTTCAAAACCTTCAACTTCCTTTATCTCCCCAAATAATCTCACATCTATTCCCATTTCTTTGCTTACTACATAATAAACATTTTTTTTACAGAGTCTTCTTCTCTGTTAAGTAGACCACATATGTTGTTGCCACACAAGATGAGCAACCTGGTTCTATGGACAGAAAGGGTCAAAAGGATCCCATTCCTCAACAGCTGGGGGTGATGTAAAGGTCATGGTTATTCTTTGTCATATCTGCACCTGCATATTGCCAGTGAAAACTTGCAGGTTACATTGGGCAGGCTTCCAAATTCACCACCTGTGGAAGGTCTTTTGCTTGGCTTACATCCTGTCCCTGAGTAAAGAATCTCATGGTGAGTTCATGAGTGCCTCAAACTCTGCAAGTATTGATGAAGGCTTCCACCCACTGACAGTGAGAAGGCACTGATTTGATGGTGATCATGAAGTTTTGCTGGTTGTCTTGCAAGGAATATGTTTTATTCTTTTATCTTGTCATCTAAAGCCAATGATTGTAACCTCTGTATTGTCTCTTCCAATGGAAAAAACGAAAACAAAAACTCAACTCTATTTGAGCCTTGTCAGGTCAATAAAACAAAAGAAAATTTAAAAAAATAATTGATAGGAGGAGTCCCATTCCCAGCCTGGGCAATAGAGTGAGACTCCATCTCAAAAGAAAAAAAAAAAAAGGCCGGGCACGGTGGTGGCTCACACCTGTTATCCCAGCACTTCAGGAGGCCAAGGCAGGTAGATCCCGATGCCAAAAAATTGAGACCATCCTAGCCAACATGGTGAAACCCTGTCTCTGCTAAAAATACAAAAATTAGCTGAGCATGGTGGCGCCCACCCATAATCCTAGCTACTCGAGAGACTGAGGCAGGAGAGTCGCTTGATCTCAGGAGGAGGAGGTTGCAGTCAGCCAAGATTTCACCACTGCACTCCAACTTGGTGACAGAGCGAGACTCCATCTCAAAACAAACAAACAAGGAAACAAACACAAAT
Organism: Homo sapiens; assembly: GCF_000001405.40. Lineage (NCBI taxonomy): Eukaryota > Metazoa > Chordata > Mammalia > Primates > Hominidae > Homo > Homo sapiens. The sequence continues at coordinate 217,311 of NW_015495298.1, read as the reverse complement.
GAACAAACAAAGGAAAAAGCTGGAAAAATAAGTTCTGAAAGAATTTCCATCTCTATGAATTCATCTTCAGAAGTGATAGCATTTCCTGCTTGGCATTTTTCGCCTACATTTTTGGCATAAGATCTATCAACAAAAAAGTATGAACCCAGGTTTGTGTAATGGAATATCTTAAACATCAATAGGAGGAGTCAATAGTTCTGATGCCACACACACATATATGGTCTTCTCCATCATCAGAAAATGGCAACAAAGTGGTAGAGTTATGCAGAGTGTAGCATTTGAAATGGAGATTTGAAGGTGACAAGGAAAGGATTTTGTAAGACATTAGTGTACAAGTTGAGCAATGTTGGTTCCTGTCACAGTATTTTTATTTATTTTTTTATTTATTTTATTCATTTATTTTTTGAGATGGAGTCTCACTGTGTCACCAGGCTGGAATGCAGTGGCACGATCTCAGCTCATTTCAACCTCTGCCTCCCCGGTTCAAGCAATTTTCCTGCCTTAGCCTCCTAAATAGCCGGGACTACAGGTACATGCCACTACACCTGGCTAATTTTTTGTATTTTTAGTAAAGACGGGGTTTCACCATATTAACTAGGATGGTCTCAATCTCCTGACTTCGTGGTCTGCCTGCCTCGGCCTCCCAAAGTGCTGGATTACAGGCCTCAGCCACCATGCCTGGTCGGTTCACATCAAAATTTAAGAGGTATTCAATTGCATATGAAACTTGTAGGCAAAATTTATTTCTTTTTTCTTTAAAGCATTAATTTATTTATTTATAATGTATTTATTTATTAATTTTTTTTTGAGATGGAGTTTTATTCTTGTTTTCCAGGCTAGAGTTCAATGGTGCGATCTCAGCTCACTGCAACCTCTGCCTCCCGGTTCAAGTGATTCTCCTGCCTCAGTCTCCCAGTTAGCTGGAATTACAGGCACAGGCCACCACACACAGCTAGTTTTTGTATTTTTAGTAGAGACAGAGTTTCACCATGTTGCCCAGGCTGGTCTGGAACTCCTGACCACAGGTGATGCACCCACCTCGGCCTCTGAAAGTGCTGAGATTACAGGTGTGAACCACCGTGCCCGGCCTACACTCATCACTTTTAATACTTTCTACATCACATGAGGAAGAAGAGCAGAAACACTTGAGTACTTCATGAAGGTCAAGGTTGGTATGAGTTTGGGTTCTAATATGATCAATTTCTGCTTCTAGGGAACCAAGCAGCTCAGGTTAAGGAAGGTCAGGAAACTCTAGGGTTTTCTCTCCCTTCAAAGAAAGCTTTACGTATCACCTTAATGGAGAAAGCAAATCTCATCCCCATGTTGTCACCTAATAAAAAGCCATACTTTCCTAAAAATGGTCCAAATGTCATTTGGACTGCTTTGAACACAGGAATTTTCTGAGCTTCATGTGAAGCTTTCAGTGAATTTCATGTGAATTCACTCCTGGTCCAATGAAGCCATTTCCTGGCATGGCCAAAGATCAGGAACGGATTCCTCTGGATCTGTCCATTAGGAGTGAGCAGGGTCTCAGTATCTGGGGAGCAGTGAGGGCCCCTGAGAAGAGGGTAGGTTTCAGTGGCTCATCATCACTGCCCACACAGAATGTTCCAGGCCCCAAGTGTGCATCCTTTGTGAATGAACCCAGTGAACAGGCATGGGAGAAATTAAGGAAGAAACAGATGACTGAAAGGAAGCAAAAAATGAGTGAGAACTAATCAAAATGATCACATTTCAGTTTTGATGCCTTGATTTGCTGCAGCTGAACCTCAATCACAGATGACGTAGTACCTCTCATCAGTAACTAGAGATTTCTGATATATAAATGGCTAAAACAGGTTGATCAATCATGGAAGACACCAGAAAGTTTCCATTCAGGTTCCATTTATTTTTGACATTTTTAAATAACCATCCTTGCGAGGGTAACTCCTGCATCATTCTAGAACTTCAGGTTCCATTTCCGAGTCTAGGAAACAGGTCCCTGAAGGCTTTATTGATGCCAAGTCAGCATTTTCACCAAGTCCTGCCCCCAGCTGAGTCACCTTTGTTTTTCCACTCACAGTCAGCACGTGCCTGAAACACATGACCGTGTGCTTCCTTTAAGATGCACCTGACCGGGCCAGGCTGCTCATGCCTGTAAACCCGGCACTGTGGAAGTCCAAGGTAGTCAGATCACTTGAGGTCAGGAGTTTGAGGCCAGCCTCCTCCAACATCGTGAAACCCTGTCTCTACTAAAAATACAAAAATTACACTTTGGGAGGCCGAGGCGGGTGGATCACGAGGTCAGGAGATCGAGACCATCTTGGCTAACTTGGTGAAACCCTGACTCTACTAAAAATACCAAAAATTAGCTGGGTGTGGTGGTGGGCACCTGTAGTCCCAGCTACTCTGGAGGCTGAGGCAGGAGAATGGCGTGAACCCTGGAGGCGGAGGTTGCAGTGAGCCGAAATCGTGCCAGTGCACTCCAGCCTGGGTGACAGAGCGAGACTCTGTCTCAAAAAAAAAAGAAAAAAAATACAAAATTAGCTGGATGTGGTGGTGCATGCCAGTAACACCAGCTACTAGGGAGGCTGAGGCAGGAGAATCACTTGAACCTGGGAGGTGGAAGTTGCAGTGAGCTGAGATTGTGCCAGTGCACTTCAGCCTGAGGGACAGAGTGAGACTCCATCAAAAAAAAAAAGCACCTGTGTCCTAGATTTTAGTGCCCAAGGGTCCAGAAGAAAACGTGTCCATCCCACTAGCCAGGCCTTCCCTAAGAGCAAAGATGGAGGTCCACTTTCTCAGATGGCCATGAGCCACAGGAAGGGCAGGGGACGGGACCAAAAAAGATCCTCTTGGGCTGCCTGACTTCCCTGAGTGTACACATCAGCTCAGCCCGAATTGGGGCAAGGATCTCCCAATTGGCATGACCCCTGTTGTCAAGACTCTCCAGACGGGAAGGATACAACTCCAGGCCTAACTTGCTCAGCCCACCTGTGTGACACAGAAGGTCTTTCAGAGCATTCATGGAAGTCTCGTTTCCTTGAAAGTAGAAGGTGGTGAGCTGGGAGCAGTGGCTCAGGGCAGGCAGGAGGACCCTGAGTTGGGAGTCCTGGATCTGACAGTCCTTTAACGTGAGGGTCTCAAGAGTAGCAGCAACTTTCTCTAGCAGAGCTCCAAGGGGCTCAAGATTGGTGGTCCACATTAGGATATGAATCAGATGCAGCTCCTTTAGCTGACTGAGGCTTGGGTACTGAGACAGACACTCCATGTCCCGATCAGCTAGGTAAGCATGACAGAATATAAAGGCCCCCAAGAGGTTCTTGAGGCACCTGGGGAGAGCAAGAAATTAGTTATGGGCAATGGTGCCAGTTAGAGGAGAGGGGTGGGAAATCATCTCAATGGTAAACTTGAAGTGGGCATTGAGTAATTCTGCACCTTACTACCACACAGGTGTTATAGTAACTGCAATGGGGAAGCCTGTTTCACCCAAACACAAGTTTGTTCCCATCATCAGATGATGGTCTGTGTGCAAGGTGCTGCCTGATGAAGACTCAGATCATTCAGGGGCAGCTCCATTTTAGGCTCAGTCCTTTCAGCCTTGCTTGTGTGATTGGTTCAAGGCCACAAAATCTTTAAAGCCTCTTTACTGCATCTTTCAGCAGACAACCTCATCTCTGGGCCAGAGGAGCCCAGTGGGAGATGTGCACAAAGAACTCAACTGAGCAAGGTCTAGGGACATCAGCTAGGGCCACCTGCCTGCAAAGGTTCCCTGACGTGCCCGCGTCTGCAAACCACCTATCACTTTATACCACTCTCCTGCCTACTCCCTCACCTCTGTCCAAGAAGCATGCTTTTCTCATGTCAACTACTTTTCCTGGGGTTCAAAAGAACCTTTTACAGACAGAGAATTAGAGGCAGGATCATTGGTGTTTACTAAGCTGTGAGGACGGAGCTTCTACTGTGAAACGCACAGGTTTGATGCACTTTCCCTTCTTTCATACTCTCCTCTATATGAAGAGTAAGTTTCATCATATTAACTTCAAACGCACTTCCTAAAAAGGAATTCACAAATGCACCCTCCCTAGATCTGAACCCCTGACTAACTAGATCCCTGCATGTCTCTCTCTGTAGCATCTGGCCCGGGCCATCCCTCTGCCCTTATTTGAGCGGGTTTGTGATACCCACTTCAGGATATAGAGCACTGAACAGCATAATGAGTTGACATTCTAGCGTCCCATTCCCTGTGACATCACCAGTGGCTGGCACACAGTAGATGCCCACTAGCGTTTACTGTGAAAAAGAACAAAAGTCTGTGGTATGGTCCGCAGAGAAAGCTCACCATCCTTTCTTACCTGAGCAGGTGCTCCAGGTCTTTGATATTATTGACCTTTCTTATATAAAGCATCTGAGGGTAGGACAGGCAGAGGAATGGACAGTCCAAGTCAGGAACGAACTATTGTTGGCCGCTTACATATAACTCACTGTCATAACCGAAGGCTAAAAAGAGTTTGCGAAGATTGCTCATCTGGCTCAGGTAAGGGGCAAACTTTCCTGTTTTATTCAGAGAGCACTTTCTCCTAACTTCCAACTGCTAGATACTGTCTGGGTATACCCTTTTCAATAAATTTCTGAAACTTGAAGTGGGCATTGAGTAATTCTGCACCTTATTACAGCACAGGTGCACTAGACCTCTTCTGTAGTGGATCTACCCACAAAGGTAGCTCAGGCATTCATCCAGTGTACTTTTCTTTAGGCAGCGGTCTATGAACACCTTCAAGGGCTGGCACTCTCCCATCCTTGGACAGTCCTCCACTGTCTGCCTTTTACTCATGGCCTCTGGGGAGCAGGAGAGGACCTTGGCTCCAGACCATATGGTCCAGAAATTCCCATCAACATCCCGCAAATCCAGCACTTGAAGTTTCCACCTCCTGTGAGTAACACAGGGGAAAAGCTCAGAATGTAGGCAAGGACCCACCCCTGACCTGAGCTTTCACTCCACATCCAGGACATCAGTCAGCTGCTCCTGTCCTCAGTGCTCCTCCTTCTGTCTCTTCTCCATCCCGCTCCCCCTTGGGTTCTGCCTGGTTCTCACTTCTAGAATCTTTACGTTCCACTGGGAGAAAGCAGGTTCCTGTTTCCTCAGTGGACCCTGTATGGTGAGCAGTCCTTTCCCAGAGGATCTGGGCAATGGTCAAGGCCTCTCATGGGCACCATCAGAAGCCTCTGAGCCACCCTAGCTCCCCAACCCCACCACTCCTCCTGAGCCAGCTGTCCCTTCCCTGGATGCCTGGACCCTTCCCACCAGGCCACCTGAGTCACCTCACCTGAGGCAAACCTTCTGGGCCAGCAGTGTATCAAGTCCCTTCAGCACAGCTTGCAAGGTCTCCAGATGAGGTGTCTTCATCAGGGATCCCAGAGGGAGGTGGAGGAAGGACCAGGCCTGCACCATCAGCTTCAGGGCCTCACAGCGTCTCCTGCTGACGGCCTCCATGAACATCAGAGGGAAGACCTCCCTGGGCAGCTCGTCCAGGATGAAGATGGTCAAGAACTGGTTCCTCAGTAGGCTCTGCCCTGCCAGCTCCAGGAGTCTGGATGGGGACTGGAGGCTCATTCTGACAAATCTGCAAGGAAAAACTCTAGAGGACAATCCAGTGAAAAGGCAAGTTTCTCAGGCCAATCCCCTGCAATCCCCGCTTCTCCTAGGGCCAAAGTCATTTCTCTAGCATGTGTGAAAGAGCCCTCAGTTTACTCCAATTCCATTCTGCAATAAGTGGCCACAGAGGCATAGTTCTGCCCTTCTGGTACTAAGAAGAGTGTGTCCCAACCTCTAAAGAGCAGGCAAGATCCCTCCTATAGGGTCCATGAATTATTAGCCACTGCACTACTACACTGATAGCACTGGGAAGTGTTAGCAAGGATCTTTGAAGCTCAGATCTCCACTTTTTTGAGAAAACAAAATGTCTTCTTGGCCAGGCACGGTGGCTCATGCCTGTAATCCCAGCACTTTAGGAGCCCAAGGTGGGCGGATCATGAGGTCAGGAGATCGAGACCAGCCTGGCCAACATGGTGAAATACCATCTGTACCGATACAAAATATTAGCTGGGTGTGGTGGTCCCTGCCTGTAATCCCAGCTACTTGGGAAGCTGAGGCAGGAGAATCTCTCAACCCGAGGTCCAGAGTTTGCAGTGAGCCAAAATCTAGCCACTGCATTCCAGCCTGGGTGGCAGAGTGAGACTCTGTCTCAAAAAAAAAAAAAAAAAAAAAAAAAGTAAAGGGAAGCCAAGCATGGCGGCTTACAGCTGTAATCCCAACACTTTGGGAAGCCAAGGCAGAACAATCACTTGAGCCCAGGAGTTCCAGACCAGCCAGGGCAACATAGTGATAGCCCATGTCTACTAGACTCTACTAGAATATTAAGTAATTATCTGAGCATTGTGGCACATGCCTATAGTCTCAGCTACTCTGCACATGGAGGTGGGAGGATGGCTTGAGCCTGGGAAGCAGAGGTTTCAGTTATCTGAGATTTTGCCACCACACTCCAGCCTGGGCAACAGAGAAAGACCCTGTCTCAAATAATAATAATAATAATAATAATAATAATAATAATAATAATAATAACACACTTTGGGATTGAGTCTAGGGGAAGAAATGGATCCTACATTCAAAACAAAGACTCTACTCTTGAAAATAGTGTATGAGGCCAGACATGGTGGCTCATGCCTGTAATCCCAAGACTTTAGGAGACAAGGTGGGGGGTTTGCTTGAGTCCAGGTGTTCCAGACCAGCCTGGCTAACAAAGCGAGACCCCATCATTATAAAAAAATTTAATAGAACATAGTGGAAGGAATATCTTTATAATTTTAGTAAAAAACAAAGCCTATCTTTCAAAATCACAATAGCATTCTTGGGTGGGGTGACTCTTGCCTGTAATCCCAGCACTTTGGGAGGCTAAGGGCTGGCAGATTACATGGAGTCCAGGGGTTCCAGACCAGCCTGGGCAATATGGTACAACCCCATCTCTACTAAAAATACAATTAGCCAGGCCTCATGGTGTGGGTCTGTAATCCCAGCTACTGGGAAGGCTGAGGTGAGAAGATCCCTTGAATACAGGAGACAGAGGTTGCACTGAGGCAATTATCACACCACTGCAGTACAGCTGGGTGACAGAGTGAGACTTTGTCTCAAGAAATTAAAATCATAATAACATAGTCTATAAACTGCAAATTAAGAGCACACAATCTACAAATTTTAAATGTCAAGGAATCAGACATTAATTAATTGGATTCTTTTTTTTTTTTAATTGAGACGGAGTCTATTGCCCAGGCTGGAGTGCAATGGCATGATCTCGGCTCACTGCAACCTCCACCTCGCGGGCTGAAGCAATTCACCTGCCTCAGCCTCCTCAGTAGCTTGGATTACAGACATGTGCCACCATGCCCAGTTAATTTTTGTATTTTCAGTAGAGAAGGCGTTTCACTGTGTTGGTCAGCCTGGTCTCAAATTCCTGACCTCAGGTGATGCACCCACCTTGGTCTCCCAAAGTGCTGGGATTACAGGCATGAGCTGCTGTCCCTGGCCCAGTTGGATTCTTTTTTAGTTCTTTGGTTAAGAATTTTGGAATGACATAAAACAAAGCACAAATACATTTTTTTTTCCTTTTTAAGGCAGAGTCTTGCTGGGTCACCCAGGTGTGCACCACCATGCCCGGCTAATGTTTGCATTTTAAGTAGAGATGGAGTTGGCCTCATGTGATCTGGCTGCCTTGGCCTTTCAAGGTTGCTGGAATTACAGGTGTGAGCCATCACGGGAGTCTCAGCTACTTGGAAGGCTGAGGAGGGAGGATCCGTTGAGCGTGGGGGGCAGAGGTTGCAGTGAGGTGAGGAGTTTGAGAGCAGTGTGGCCAACATGGCAAAATCTCATCTCTACTAAAAATACAAAAATTAGCTGCGCATGGTGGCAGGTGCCTTGTAATCCCAGCTACTTGGGAGGCTGAGGCGGGAGAATTGCTTGAAGCCGGGAGGCGGAGGTTGCAGTGAGCTGAGATCGCGACACTGCACTCCAACGTGGGCGACAGAGTGAGACTCCTTCTTGGAGAAAAAAAAAAAAAAAGAACTTTGAAATGTGGCAGGGCCCAGTAGCTCATGCCTATTATCCCAGCACTTTGGGAGGCCAAGGCAGGTTAATCACTTGAGAGGTCAGGAGTTCAAGACCAGCCTGGCCAACATGGTGAAAACTTACCTCTACTAAAAATACAAAATCAGGGCTGGGCACGGTGGCTCACACCTGTAATCCCAGCACTTTGGGAGGCCGAGGCGGGCGGATCACGAAGTCAGGAGTTTGAGACAAGCCTGGCCAACATGGTGAAATCCCATCTCTACTAAAAATACAAAAATTAGCCAGGTGTGATGGTGGTTGCCTATAATCCCAGTACTCGGGAGGCTGAGGTAGGAGAATCACTTGAACCTGGGAGGTGGAGGTTGCAGTGAGCCGAGATTGTGCCTGTCAGGTCTCTGAGCCCAAGCCAAGCCATCGCATCCCCTGTGACTTGCACGTATACATCCAGATGGCCTGAAGTAACTGAAGATCCACAAAAGAAGTAAAAACAGCCTTAACTGATGACATTCCACCATTGTGATTTGTTCCTGCCCCACCCTAACTGATCAATGTACTTTGTAATCTCCCCCACCCTTAAGAAGGTACTTTGTAGTCTCCCCCACCCTTAAGAAGGTTCTTTGTAATTCTCCCCACCCTTGAGAATGTACTTTGTGAGATCCACCCCTGCCCACCAGAGAACAACCCCCTTTGACTGTAATTTTCCATTACCTTCCCAAATCCTATAAAATGGCCCCACCCCTATCTCCCTTCACTGACTCTCTTGTCGGACTCAGCCCGCCTGCACCCAGGTGAAATAAACAGCCGTATTGCTCACGCAAAGCCTGTTTGGTGGTCTCTTAACAAGGACGCGCATGAAAGTGCCATTGCCCTGCAGCCAGCGCAAGAGTGACGCTCCGTCTCAAAAAAAAAAAAAAAAAAAAAAAAAAAAGAAGCTTATCAAGCCCTGAAGCAATATGGGAAAAAAAAAATACAAAATTTAGTCAGGCATAGTGGTGGGCGCCTGTCATTCCAGATAGTAGGGAGGCTGAGGCAGGAGAATCACTTGATCCGGGAGGCGGAGGTTGCAGTGAACCAGGATCGCACCACTGCACTCCAGCCTGGGTGACAGAGCAAGTTTGTCTCAAAAAAATAAAATAAAAGAGAACTTTGAGATGGCATAAACTAAAACAGAAATAAAATATTTGGAGAGTGGCTGGGCGTGGTGGTTCATGCCTGTAATCTCAGCACTTTGGGAGGCTGAGGCAGGTGAACCACGAGGTCAGGAGTTCAAGACCAGCCTGGCCAACATGGTGAAACCCTGTCTCTCTAAAAATACAAAAAAAATTAGCCAGGCGTGGTGGTGGGCGCCTGTAGTCCCAGCTACTCGGGAGGCTGAGGCAGGAGAATTGCTTGAACTCAGGAGGTGGAAGTTGCAATGAGCCGAGATCGTGCCACTGCATTCCAGCCCAGGCAACGGAGTGAGGCTCTGTCTCATAACAAACAAACAAACAAAAATATATATGTAGATATATATTTGGAGTGTAGATAAAAGTATATTAGAGGAAAAATCAAAGCCTACATCTTTTCATCTGAAAAACAGACAGGAGAATTCTCTGTGTCGTCTTGACCTCCGTGTCGTCATCCTGACTGTCTGACTGTGGGTCATAGGAGTGCCCTTTGTGGAGGTCCCTGACTTATCAGATCTGGACTCACTTTGCAGTGTGCTCGGATCTCGTGGAGAACCAAGCAGTAACTCCAGGCACCACAGCTCTGGGTCTCTTCTGGGGGTGCTCACAAGCTTTCTTGAACCTTTCTCATCACACCTCCCCTTTTCAACCACCAGCTTCCCATCAGAGAGTGATGCCTGATTGGATTTCTGAAGCTCCACCCAGTTAAGCCTGTGAATTCAGGTGTCCATTCAATCCCTTGGATATCCAATCATGAAATTGAAAGTGTTGGGATTAGAATGCAGGTCAAGAATTCATTTTGATAACGTTGATCCAGCCAAAGTTCTCTGAACCATAAAGCTTTCAGGTTTTGTTTTTGTGTCTAATCTCAGGAGCAGATTGAAGGCTTCCCTGTCTCAAACTCAAAAATAGGAAGGAAGGTCACATATTAGTACAATTCATTCTCTGTGGAGGGCATTAATGAATGAATTCTTGACTTCCACCCTAATCCTAACAAACACTGATGGAATTTACTAAGGGACTGACTGATAAGGTGGATGGTGTGTGCCTGTAATCCCATTGAGCAATTCATATTGAGGAATTATTTTCTTATTTTGCTGAGAATATTTTTAAAATCCTGAATGAGTCATTGAATTTTTTCAAATGTTTTTCGTACATCAATTAAGATGATCATTTTCTGGTGCTTTTATTCTATTTATTTGTTTAAATACGTTTGTTGAATTTTTTTTTTTTTTTTTTTGGGGGGAGACAGAGTCTCGGTCTGTGGTCCTGGCTGGAGTGCAGTGGCGTGATCTCGGCTCACTGCAACCTCCATCTTCTGAGTTCAAGCAATTCTCCTGCCTCAGCCTCCTGAGTGGCTGGGATTACAAATGTGCACCATCACGCCTGGCTAATTTTTGTATTTTTACTAGAGACAGCGTTTCCCATGTTGCCCAGGCTGGTCTTGAACTTGTAATCTCTGGTGATCTGCCCACCTCGGCCTCCCAAAGTTGTTGGGAGTGCAGGCGTGAGCCACTGCACGTGGCCCAATCATGCATGTTTGGTTGATATTCAAATGTTAAAACCATTTTCATTGTCCCTTTGGTCACTTTTATAAATTGTTGGAAGACACATAGGTGGATGGGATTGGAAGGAGAAGAGTGGAGAGACAGGTGGCCCTAAAGTGGGTGGAAGGTATATATGCCTTCATTTTACTGAGGACTAAGGTCTGAATTTTTTATCTTGCCCAAATTCCTAAGGAGTCTACAGAGTCATGCCCCAAAATCATAAATTCCCATCAGATGAGTTTTTTTAGCCCTGTATATGGTGACTTACTTTCCAATCTGACTCTGGCATAACATCCTGTGACAGAGGAGAAAGTCAAGATATTTTGCCCCAAGGCATGTTTCTTTGCCATATCTTGAAATGGCCCTGCAAAGCTGTCCTTTATGGGGGAAAATCTGCATCTGTAAAGAATCTCTATTAACACAGCTAGATCTTTTTCTTGCAGGCCCTCCCAGTCCTGAAGAGATGGACTGTCTGGTAATTTTAAGGGTCTGAATAGCAAACATCTGTCATCTGTTGTCTCGAAGGGTGGCCACTATGAGATTTCAAAAGAACCTCGGTCTCCACAATCTTTTATTTCACCCTGACCATTTCCTTTCTATGGATCCCCGGTCTTTAGACAAACTCAACCAATTGTCAACCAGAAAATGTTTAAATTTACCTATAGCCTGGAAGCCCCCGACCCTTCAGTTGTCTCTCCTTTCTGAGCCAAACCAATGTAATTCTTTTCTTTTCTTTTCTTTTCTTTTCTTCTCTTCTCTTTTCTTTTCTTCTCTCTCTCTTTCTCTCCCCCTCCCTCCCTCTCTCCCTCTCTCTTTCTTTCTTTCACACAGATTCTCACTCTGTCACCCAGGCTGAAATGCGGTGGTGTGCTCTTGGCTTACTGCGATCCCTGTCTCCCAGGCTGAAATGCGGTGGTGTGCTCTTGGCTTACTGCGATCCCTGTCTCCCAGGTTCAAGTAATTCTCCTGTCTCAGCCTCCCGAGTAGCTGGGAATACAGGCACACACCATCACACCTGGCTAATTTTTGTATTTTTACAAAAATTAGACGGGGTTTCACTATGTTGGCCAGGCTGGTCTCTAACTCCTGACCTCAGATGATCCACCCGCCTCGGCCTCCTAAAGTGCTGGGATTACAGGCGTGAGCCACCACTCACCCAGCCATGTATTTCTTTTTTCTTTCTTTCTTTTTTTTTTTTTTTTTTGAGATGGATTCTGGCTCTGTCACCCAGTCTGGGATGCAGTGGTGTGATCTCAGCTCCCTGCAAACTCCACCTCCCAGATTCAAGCAATTCTTCTGCCTCAGCCTCCTGAGTAGCTGGGATTAAAGTTGTGTAGCACCGTGACAGGCTAATTTTTGTATTTTTAGTAGAGATGGGGTTTCAGCATGTTGGCCAGGCTGGTCTCGAACTCCTGACCTCAAATGATCCACCCACCTCAACCTCTGAAAGTGCTGGGATTACAGGCGTGAGCCACAGAACCAGGGGGACTGGCCATATATTTCTTAGATGTATTTAATTGATGTTTCATGTACCCCTAAACTGTATAAAACCAACCTGCGCCCCAAACAACCCTGGGCACGTGTTCTCCAGACCTCTTTTTTTTTTTTTTTTTTTTGAGATGGAGTCTTGCTCTGTCACCCAGGCTGGAGTGCAGTGGCACGATCTCGGCTCAATGCAAGCTCTGCCTCCCGGGTTCACGCCATTCTCCTGCCTCAGCCTCCCGAGTAGCTGGGACTACAGGCGCCCACCACCATGCCCACCTAATTTTTTTTTGTATTTTTAGTAGAGACAGGGTTTCACCATTTTAGCCAGGATGGTCTCGATCTCCTGACCTCGTGATCCGCCTGCCTCGGCCTCCCAAAGTGCTGGGATTACAGGCATGAGCCACTGCGCCCAGCCTCTCCAGACCTCTTGAGGGCTGTGTCATGGGCCATGGTCATTCATATTTGGCTCAGAATAAATCTCTTCACATATATTACAGAGTTTGACTCTTTTTGTCAACATTACTATTATATTTTTCAACTGCATACATATTATATGTGTGTATTTACTATATACAGTGTTCTGTTGGTATGTATCATTTATTTTACTACTTATTTATTTTAAGTTTGGAAGGGAGAGCTTTATTTTTCATAAAAGGTGGCCATGGCCAGGCAAGGTGGCTCACAGCTGGAATTCCAGCACCTGATCCCAGTGAGTGGATAACCTGATGTCGGGAGATCGAGACCAGCCTGGCCAACATGTTGAAACCCTGTCCCTACTAAAAATACAAAAATCAGCTGGGCATGGTGGCCCACGCCTGTAATCCCAGCTACTTGGGAGGTTGAGGCAGGAGAATGACTTGAACCTGGGAAGCAGAGGTTGCAGTGAGCCGAGATGGCGCCACTGCACTCCAGCCTGGGCGACAGAAGGAGACTCCGTGTCAAAAAAAAAAAAAAAAAAAAAAAAAAAGAGTGGCCAAGTGTCGGATGGCCACTCTGACAGGAGAAGCAGCATCAGGCAGTTGGTTGCTATGAGTGGTAGATTCTTAAAGAGCTGGTTTCTGTTTGACCCTTAAGGAAGAAAGGCTAATGGTGGTTAGCAAGGGAGGGGGTATAGTGAAGCTTGTGGACCCCCCCCGCCCAACATCTCGTTCTCCTTGAGAACTCAGTTTTCAAGGATAACTGGGGTTTCCTCTTGACCAACAGGGGGTCTGTTTCTTCAGTTAGGGGGCTTAGAAATTCACTGTTATTTCTCATTTTCCCCCCTGTTCATCAGGATATGCCAGAAGCAGCATCAATGGCCAAAGTTTTAATTTGTCTCATGTGGATGACAGGGTGGCGGAGCTACCTGCCTTGGTCCACCCAGCCCCTAGGTGGGACTCCTATGGACGTGAGATTCAGAGCCAAAAGACTTACAGCCAATTAAAGCATCCTAGGCCAGATGAGCGTGGCGGTGGGCAGGCATGCATCAACACTTAAAACCTTTTAGGCAACATAAGCCTAAAACCAAAGCCAAAAAGCAACCTTACAAAAATGGACTTATCTATAAGTTCTATGCATTGAGCTACTGCAACCTTGGTTTTAGTTAGACTTGTAGCAATTAGCTATAAACATAAACATTTCCCTGAAACCACTTAAGGTAAGGAATTTAGAGACTTCTGTGTCCCACAGCATTTTTTTGTGGTTTCTTTTGTAATCTGTCCTAAAGTGGCCAAAAAAGTCTTTATCATATCTCCATTTGCATAAACCCAATAGTGAGAACAACTATACCCAAAAGGCTTTATCACCACCTGTCTTGATATCCTCTTGGTGATTCTCCTTTAATGCTCTAGAAAGCAGGAATTTTTCCATAATTGGAATGGATGGATAATGACCCAGGAGGAAAAGTCCCTCAGTTGCCAAATGTTGAGGCATCTGTGTGCCCATTCTTCTTTTTTTGGATACGGAGTCTTGCTCTGTCACCAGGCTGGAGTGCAGTGGCACGATCTCAGCTCACTGCAACCTCTGCTTCCTGGGTTCAAGGAATCTCCTGCCTCAGCCTCCCAAGTAGCTGGAACTACAGGCATCCCCCACCACACCCAGCTAATTTTCGGTAGAGACAGGGTTTTACCTTGTTGGCCAGCAATAAGGAAATGATTCAGAACAGCTGGGCTCCCAACTAAACCCACCCTCAATCCTGGAAACTCGGCCCTAAGTGAAAACAGCTAACCCCATTTTTCTGCCCAAATGATTGCCCTTTTGGCCTTCCTCACACCCTATCCTGGGCCCATAAAAAGACCAGCTGGCAGAGCAACACAAGCGGCTGCTGCAAGTGGTTGGGGATGCAAGATGCTGAGCATCGGAATACAAGTGGCTGAACGTTGGGGATACAAGCAGATGAGCATTAAAGCCTACAGAGAGATGCAGCTAACTTCAGATGGTGTGGCTTCAGGGGAAGATCACCTTCTTGCTGCACCATCCCCTTTCTTTTTTTTTTTTTTTTTGAGACGGAGTCTCACTCTGTTGCCCAGGCTGGAGTGCAGTGGCGTGATCTCAGCTCACTGCTCACTGCAAGCTCTGCCTCCTGGGCTTAAGAGATTCTCCTGCCTCAGCCTCCCAAGTAGCTGGGATTACAGTCACCCGCCACCACGCCCAGCTAATTTTTTTGCATTTTTAGTTGAGATGGGGTTTCACCATGTTGGCCAGGCTGGTCTCGAGCTCCTGACCTCAGGTGATCCATCTGCCTCAGCCTCCCACAGCCTTCCAAAGTGCTGGGATTACAGGCTTGAGCCACTGCGCCTGGCAGCACCATCCCCTTTCTAACTCCCCTTTCCACTGAGAGCCACATTTATCACCCAATAAAATCCTTCACTTATGCTACTCTTTAAATAGCTAATGTGACCTGGTTCTTCCTTTACACCGAATAAGAACTTGAGTGTCAAAAAGGGCAGGTGCGGGAAGCTGTCACTCTGACCATACACTGAGCTGTTCACACTCAGCCATCCACAGACTGCAGCCGGAGTGAAACAAACCACTCTAGTTCCTGCCCATGAAGAAGGTCAAAGTCAAGGGAACAATCCTGTCTCAGGAACACACTTTACTGGACAGGTTATCAAACACTTAAAGAAGATTTTACAAATTTAGTGGCACTACCATTGCCCTTGTTTTTCTCAGCCTTCTACAAAGGTTGAATGAACAAATGGTATCTTGAAACTAAAATTAGCTAAATCAGGCTGGGCACGGTGGCTCACATCTGTAATCCCAGCACTTTGGGAGGCTGAGGCGGGTGGATCACTTGTCAAGAGTTCGAGACCAGCCTGGCCAACACGGTGAAACCCCTTCTCTTCTAAAGGTACAAAAAGAAGCTGGGCATGGTGGTGCATGCCTGTATTCCCAGCTACTAGGGAGGTTGAGGCAGGAGAATCACTTGAACCCAGGAGGCAGAGGTTGCAGTGAGCCGAGATCGCACCATTGTACTCCGGTCTGGCAGACAGAGGAAGACTCTGTCTCAATAAAAATAATAATAAAAATAAAATAAAATTAGCTACATCTACAGGGAAGACTAGATTACACTAACCGAAAGTTTTTTTTTGTTTTTTTTTTTTGAGACCGAGTCTTGCTCTGTCACCGAGGCTGGAGTGCAGTGGCATGATCTTGGCTCACTGCAAGCTCTGCCTCCTGGGTTCATGCCATTCTCCCGCCTCAGCCTCCTGAGTAGCTGGGACTACAGGCACCTGCCACCACGCCTGGCTAATTTTTTTTCTATTTTTAGTAGAGATGCGGTTTCACCATGTTAGCCAGGATGGTGTCGATCTCCTGACCTCATGATCTGCCCGCCTTGGCCTCCCAAAGTGCTGGGATTACAGGCGTGAGCAGCCGTGCCCTGCTAACCAAAAGTTTTACTACTGAATTTTTTTTTTTTTTTTTTGAGATAGAGTCCCCCGGCCGGGCGCGGTGGCTCACGCCTGTAATCCCAGCACTTTGGGAGGCAGAGGCAGGTGGATCATGAGGTCAGGAGATCGAGACCATCCTGGCTAACACAGTGAAACCCCGCCTCTACTAAAAATACAAAAAATTAGCCGGGCGTGGTGGCGGGCGCCTGTAGTCCCAGCTACTTGGGAGGCTGAGGCAGGAGAATGGCGTGAACCTGGGAGGCGGAGCTTGCAGTGAGCCGAGATCGCGCCACTGCACTCCAGCCTGGGCAGCAGAGCGAGACTCCGTCTCAAAAAAAAAAAAAAAAAATGAGATAAAGTCTCCCTCTGTCACCAGGCTGGAGTGCAGTGGCACCATCTCTGCTCACTGCAACCTCTGCCTCCCGGGTTCAAGCGATTCTCCTGCCTCAGCCGTCCAAGTAGCTGTAACTACTGGTTTACACCACCATGCCGGGCTAATTTTTGTATTTTTAGTAGAGACGGGGTTTCACCATGTTGGCCAGGCTGGCCTCGAACTCCGTACCTCAAGTGATCCTCCCACCTTGGCCTTCCAAAGTGCTGGGATTACAGGTGTAAGCTACCGTGCCTGGCCTCAAACTGAACATTCTCAAAGTTCTACTGTTCAAAGTTTAGCTTCTTTCACTAAGCAAATCAATTGCTGGCTATGTAAACATTTTTTTTTTAATCTTTGTTTTTGTTTTTCTTTTTCGAGACAGGGTCTTGTTTTGCAACCCAGGCTGGAGTGAAGTGGCACGATCACGGCTTATTGCAGCCTTGACCTGCCAGTCTCAATCAATCCTCCAAATCAATCTCCTAAATAGCTAGGATTACAGGTGTGTGCCACCACACCTGGTTAGGTTTTGTGTTTTTTTATTTTTTTGTAGAGACAGGGTTTCACCATGCTGCCCTGGCTGGTCACTAACTCCTGGCCTCTGGGCTTAAGCAATCTGCCTGACTCGGCCTCCAAAAGTTCTGGGATAACAGGTGTGAGCCACCAAGCAGGGCCTGGAAATTTATTTCTGTGCATAGAAAACCTTAGTGCAACTGGGTTGATCTAGGCAGTGTTCCAGACTCCCTCTGTAATCAGACTCTTTGGTTTGACACACATTATGGAGATTGGAAGCCAATGTGTAAGGGAAATAGATATAAAATTAGAACATGACCACTACTTAGGAGGCTGCAGCAGAAGGATCACTTGAGTCCAGGAGTTCAAGGCTGCTATGAGCTATGATTATGCCACTGAACTCTAGCCTGGGCAACAGAGTGAAGAAGACCTTATCTCAAAAAACAAAACAAAACAAAAACAAAAACAAAAACAAACAAAACAACAGTCAGAGGTAGTAGTTCATGCCTGTAATCCCAGCACTTTAGGAGGCTGAAGAGGGCAGATCACTTGAGATCAGGAGTTCAAGACCAGCCTGGTCAACATGGTGAAACCCCATCTCTACTAAAAGTACAAGAAAAATTAGCTGGGTGTAGTGGCAGGCCCCTGTAATCCCAGCTAATTGGGAGGCTGAGCCAGGAAAATAGCTTGAACCCAGGAGGTAGAGGTTGCAGTGAGCCGAGATGGCAACACTACACTCCAGCCTGGGCAACAGAGTGAGACTCTGTCTCAATCAAAGCAAAACCAAACAAAACAAAACAACAAAACAAAACAAAATGAAACAATACATGAGCATGATCATGTTACCCTCTACTACGTAATCAACGTCTTACTAAAACCAGACATTGGTGGCCGGGCGCAGTGGCTCACATCTGTTATCCCAGCATTTTGGGAGGCCGAAGCAGGCAGATCACCTGAGGTCAGGAGTTCAAGACCAGCCCGGCCAACATGGTGAAACCCCGTCTCTACAAAAAATACAAAAAAATCAGCTGGGCATTATGGCGAGTGCCTGTTATTCCAGCTACTTGGGAGGCTGAGGCAGGAGAATCGCTGGAACCTGGGAGACAGAGGTTGCAGTGAGCTGAGATGGTGCCATTGCACTCCAGCCAGGGTAACATAACAAGACTCCGTCTCAATAAAAAAACCAAAAAACAAAAAACTAAAAAACTAGACATTGGTTTAATGGAAACATGAGAGGCAAAGGGATTGTCTCTACAGTTCTACTGTATGAAATAAATAATAGCTTCTTTTGTTTGTTTGTGTTGTTTTTGTTTTTTTGAGACAGAGTCTCACTCTGTTGCCCAGGCTGGAGAGCAATGGCATGATCTTGGCTCACTGGAACCTCTGCCTCCTGGGTTCAAGCAGTTCTCCTGCCTCAGCCTCCAAGTAGCTAGGATTACAGGTGCTCTCCACCACACCTGGCTAATTTTTTGTATTTTCAGTAGAGACAAGGTTTTGCCATGTTGGCCAGGCTGGTCTGAAACTCCTGAGCCCTAGTGATCCATCCACCTTGGCCTCCCAAAGTGTTGGGATTACAGGCGTGAGCCACTGCACCCGGCCAATAGTTTGGTTTATTAGATGCATCAATAATCAGGGCATTTTGTAGAGGAACCTACTTATCTTTTAATGGAGATAGCATGCAATGGCTACTTCATCTAATTCATTAAAATACTTTTTCTTCCTACATTTATTTATTTATGTATTTATTTTATTTTATTTTTATTTTGAGATGGAGTTTCACTCTTGTTGCCCAGGCTGGAGTGCATTGGTGTGATCTCAGCTCACCACGACCTCTGCCTCCCTGGTTCAAGTGATTCTCCTGCCTCAGCCTCCCTAGTAGCAGGGATTACAGGCATGTGCCACCACGCCCGGCTAATTTTGTATTTTTAGTAGAGATGGGGTTTCTCCATGTTGGTCAGGCTGGTCTTGAACTCCCGACCTCAGGTGATCCACCCACCTCGACCTCCCAAAGTGCTGGGATTACAGGTGTGAGCCACTGTGCCCAGCCTTATTTATTTATTTATTTATTTATTTATTTATTTATTTATTCATTTATTTATAAGACAGGTTCTCACTCTGTCACCCAGGCTGGAGTGCAGTGGCAGATCTCAGCTCACTGCAACCTCTGCCTCCTGGGCTCAAGTGATCCTTCCACCTCATCCCCCCAAGTCACTGAGAGTACAGGTGCATGCCACCATGCCCAGCTAATTTTTGTATTTTTTGTAGAGATGAGGTTTTGCCACATTGCCCAGGCTGGTCTTGAACTCCTGGACTCAACAATCTGCCCACTTTGGCTTTCCAAATGCTGGGATTACTGGTGTTAACTACCATGCTTGCTCCTCTATCCCAATTTAAACCACAATCACACAATCTGGTGTCAATGGAAATTAAGGATGTTGAGGGAAAAATAATTTGATACAAGTTTATTGGAAGCTGAATGTGAGAATTGACCCAGGAACATACAGCAACAAAGTGGATGTGTTCCAAAGTCTATTATAAGTTGGAATGCTTTCATGAGAGAGTGTAGAAGGCAGTGGGACTCCTCATAGCTGAGTTGTCCTTCTTCAATGATGGGTACAACACAGAGGTTACAATCATTGACCAAGGTTGACAATGAACAGGCCAAAATGCTTGAAGTGCAAGACAGTTAAACTTCATGATCAAAATCAAATCAGCGTCCTTCTCAATGTCAGAAGGTGAAGCCTTTGTCAGTACTTGAAGAGTTTGAGAAGCTCATGATCAGATGATTTACTCAGGGACAGGATGTAAGCCATGAATCCTAAGCCCTTCCCCAGATGGTTGGTTTGGAAGCCTGCCAAATGTGATTTGCAGGTTTTTGTTTTTGTTTTTGCTTTTTTGAGATGGAGTCTCACTCTGTCACCCAGGGTGGAGTGCAATGGTGCAGTCTTGGCTCACTGCAATGTCCGCCTCCCTTGTTCAAGCAATTCTCCTGCCTCAGCCTCCCAAGCAGCTGGGATTACAGGCATGCCCCAACACACCTGGCTAATTTATATATATGTATATATTTTTTAGTAGAGATGGGGTTTCACCATGTTGGCCAGGCTGGTCTTGAACTCCTGGCCTTAGGTGATTCTCCTGACTTGGCCTCCTAAAGTGTTGGGATTACAAGTGTGAGCCACCAAGCCTGGCCGATCTGCAGGATTTCACTGGCAATGTGCAGACGCAGCTATGATGAAGAATAACCATGACC
Source organism: Homo sapiens (assembly GCF_000001405.40). NCBI lineage: Eukaryota > Metazoa > Chordata > Mammalia > Primates > Hominidae > Homo > Homo sapiens. The sequence goes on along the minus strand of NW_015495298.1, from coordinate 197,013 downwards.
GTCCTATTACCTCCGACTGGTGGAGAATGGGATCCTTTGACCCTTTCTCACCCTAAAACTGGGTTACTCATCTGTGTGTCAACAAAAATATGGTGTACTTAACAGACAGAGAAAGAGACTCAGTAAAAAAGGATTTTTTTCTTATGAAATGAGCAAAGCAATGGGAATAGGTGTGAGACTATTCAGGGAGGTCAAGGAAGACAAGGGTTTTGAAAGGAAAAATAAGGAGGATTACATAAGTGGTTCTGAAGGCATCCTCCTTGGCCATAAGGATCACAGTTAAGGTGGCATTGGCCAATGTTGGAAAGAGTCTCCCTCATGCCCACAAAAACCCAACACATTGACCATGCCTTGGTTCAATCTCAAGGTCCCATTGGAACACTAAGCCCAACCCAGCCCAGCCCAGCCACCACCCTTACTTCTCTTTGTAATTGTTACCTGATTTCCTCCAGAGAAACCTGGAACAAAATCTTAAGACCAATCACATCCTTAGTGGTACCTCTCTTCCACACGAATGAGCATACGATTTCCTCATATGGGTAACTTAAATCCCAAATGACCAATATATACACGAACATTTAAATTCAATTTTGTAGGGATAAAACCACTGCCTTCATGAAGCTGTTTTTTGTTTTGTTTGGTTTTGGTTTTTGATACAGGCTCTGTTGCCCAGCCCAGAGGGCAGTAGATTGATCTAGGCTCACTGCAACCTCTGCATCGTGGGGATCAAAAAATGGATCTTCCCATTTCAGCCTCCAGAGTAGCTGGGACCACAGGTGTGCACCACCATGATTCACTGATTTTTTTTTTTTTTTGAGATGGTGTCTCCCTCTGTCACCCAGGCTGTAGTGCAGTGGCATGATCTTGGCTCACTGCCACCTCCACCTCCCGGGTTCAAGTGATTCTTCTGCCTCAGACTCCTGAGTAGCTGGGACTAGAGGTGCATCCCACCATGCCCAGCTAATTATTGTATTTTTAGTAGAGACGGTTTCACCATATTTGCCAGGCTGGTCTCGAACTGCTGACCTCATGATCTGCCTACCTTGTCCTCTCAAAGTGCCAGGATTACAGGCTTGAGCCACCGTGTCTGGCTTATAAAGTTTAAACTCTGAAACATTTTTATTTTTATTTATTTATTCATTTATCTTGAGACTGAGTCTTGCTCTGTCACCCAGGCTGGAGTGCAGTGGCGTGATCTTGGCTCACTGCAAGCTCCGCCTCCCAGGTTCATGTCATTCTCCTGCCTCAGCCTCTGGAGTAGCTGGGAATAAAGGAGCCCACCACCATGCCTGGCTAATTTTTTGTATTTTTGGTGGAGACAGGGTTTCACTGTTAGCCAGGATGATCTCGATCTCCTGACCTCGTGATTCACCCGCCTCAGCCTCCCAAAGTGCTGGGATTATAGGCGTGAGCCACAGTGCCTGGCTGAAACCTTTTATAATTTTGTTTTGTTTTGCTTTTTGAGGCAGAGTCTCTCTCTGTCACCTAGGCTGCAGTGCATTGGCACGATCTTGGCTCACTGCAACCTCCGCCTCCTGGGTTCAAGTGATTCTCCTGCCTCAGCCTCCTGAGTAGCTGGGACTACAGGCACCCACCACCACACCCGGCTAATTTTTGTATTTTTAGTAGAGACAAGGTTTCACCATGTTGGCCAGGATGGTCTCGATCTCCTGACTTTGTGATCCACCCGCCTGGACCTCCCAAAGTGCTGGGATTACAGGCATGAGCTACCGCGCCTGGCCCATTTTGATAATTTTGACGGGGCCAAAGATTTCCCCAACATTAATCTTTTTAGGTTTTGTTTTTCTCTCTAATGTCAGGAACAGAGTGAGAGTTCCCTGTCTCACACTCAGAACAAAGAAGGTCACATACTGGTAAATTCCATCAGTGTTTGTTCGGGTGGAAGTCAAGAATTCACTCATTAATGCCCTCCAGAAGCAGAGATGGAGTGGTAGTAATATGTGACCTTCCTAGTCCTGAGTGGAAGACAGGGAAGGGTTCAACCTATTCCTGAGATTAGACAGAAAAGCAAAACCGGAAAATATTATGGTTGGGAGTTCTTTGGTGACATCAAAATCATCAAAATGAGTTCTTGACTTCCACCCTAATTACAGTGCTTTCAGTTTCATGATTGGATATCTGATTCAATCCATTATTCTGCAGAAAGCCAAAACTTCAATCAGGCTTAACTGGGTGGAATTCAGAAATCCAATCAGGTATCACTTTCTGATAGGAATCTGGAAGTTGATAAAGGAGGTGGGATTAGGAAAGTCCAAGAAAGTTGCTGGGAGCCGTGGCTCATGCCTGTAATCCCAGCACTTTGGGAGGCTGAGGAGGAGGGTGGGTCATGAGGTCAGGAGTTCCCAAGACCAGGCTGGCCAATATGGTGAAACACCATCTCTGCTAAAAATACAAAATTAGCTAGGTGTGGTGGCGCATGCCTGTAATTCCGGCTACTTTGGAGACTGAGACAGGAGAATCACTTGAATCCAGGAGGTGGAGGTTGCGGTGAGCCGAGATCACGCCATTTTACTCCAAACTGGGCAACAAGAGCGAAACTCCATCTCAAAAAAACAGAAAGGTCCAAGAAAGCTTGTGAACATCCACAGAAGAGACCCCAAGCTGTGGTACCTGGAGTTATTGCTTGATTCTCCAAGAGGTCCGAGCAGACTGCAAAGTGAGTCCAGATCTGGTAAGTCAGGTACCTTCACAGGGGCACTCCTATGACCCACAGTCAGCCAGTAGAGATGGCGACATGAAGGCCAAGGTGGCACAGCGAATTTTCCTGCCTGTTTTTCAGATGAACAGATGTAGGCTTTAATTTTTTCTCTAATGCAGTTTTATCTCTTCACTCCAAATATTTTATTTGTGTTTAGTTTATGTCATTTCAAATGTTTTTTTTTTTTTTTCTGAGATGGAGTCTTGCTCTGTCACCCAGGCTGGAGTGCAATGATGAGGTCTCGGCTCACTGCAACCTCTGCCTCCTAAGTTCAAGCAATTCTCCTGCCTCAGCCTCCTGAGTAGCTGGGATTACAGGTGCCCACCACCATGCCCGGCTAATTTTTGTATTTTTAGTAGAGACAGGGTTTCACCATGTTGGCCAGGCTGGTCTCGAACACCTGACCTCGTGATCTGCCCACCTAGGCCTCTCAAAGTGCTGGGATTATAGGTGTGAGCCACCATGCCCAGCTTCAGAGTTCCGAATCAAGCAGTTGAAAAATAATGCAATTGACTGAAGTCTTTTTTTTTTTTTTTCTTTGAGGCATTGTCTTCCTGCGTCATTCTTGGTGGAATGCAGTATTGTGATCTCGACTCACTGCAACCTCTGCCTTCTGGGCTCAAGCCATCCTCCCTACTCATAAGTTCTAGCCTTCTGAATAGCTGGAATTCAGGCATGCACCAGTATAACCGGCTAATTTTTTTGTTTTTGTTTTGTTTTTGTCTTTTTCTTTTTTTTTTTTTGAGAGAGAGTCTCACTCTGTTGCCCAGGTTCGAGTGCAGAGGCATGATCTTGGCTCACTGCAAATTCTGCTTCCCGGGTTCAAGTGATTCTCCTGCTTCAGCCTCCCAAGTAGCTGGGACTGTGGGTGTGTGCCACCACACCTGGCTAATTTTTGTATTTTTAATAGAGATAGGGTTTCACTATGTTGGCCAGGCTGGTCTTAAACTCCCAAACTCAGGCGATCTGCCCGCCTCAGTCTCACAAAGTGCTGAGATTACAGGTGTGAGCCACCGTGCCAGGCCTATTATTATTTTTTTTTATAGTGATGGGGTCTTGGTTTGTTACCTAGGCTGGTCTGGGACACCTAGATTCAAGCAAACCTCCCACTTTGCCTTCTAAAGTCTTGGGATTACAGGCATGAGCCAACATGACTGGTCTCATACACCATTTTCAAGAATGGAGTCTTTGTTCTGAATGTGGGATCCATTTGTTTCTCTAGACTCCATTCCAAAGTGGGTAATATTTTATTTATTTATTTATTTTATTAAGACAGAGTCTTGCTGTTCTGCCCAGGCTGGGGGTACAGTGGCACAGTCTCAGATCACTGTAACTTCTGCTTCCCAGACACAAGCCATCCTTCCACCTCAGCCTGCACAGCAGCTGGGACTACAGGTGTGCGCCATCACTTCCATCTATTTTTTGTATTTTTTTGGAGAGACAGGGTCTCACTATGTAGCCCAGGCTGGTCAGCAACTCCAGGGCTTAAGTGATTGTTCTGCCTTGGCTTGCCAAAGTGTTGGAATTACAGCTGTGAGCCTCCATGTGTGGCCCCTCATTACTTTTTTGAAAGTGAACATAATGGTGTCTAATTAAAAATATTCCTTTAGTCTCTCCCAGCCAAGTTCACTGTGGGAACTGAGACTGTAGACTGTTTGGGGCCACAGGAGACTCCCATTACCATTGTTTTATTGTTTTATTTTTTTTATTTATTTTTTTTTTTGAGACTGAGTCTTGCTCTATTGCCCAGGCTGGAGTGCAGTGGCACTATCTCAGCTCACTGCAACCTCCGCCTCCTGGGTTCAAGTGATTCTTATGCCTCAGCCTCCCGAGTAGCTGGAGTTACAGGCACCTGCCACCATGCCTGGCTACTTTTTGTATTTTTAGTAAAGACTGGGTTTCACCTTGTTGGCCAGGCTGTTCTCTAACTCCTGACATCAAGTGAGCCGCCCGCCTTGGCCTCCAAGGTGCTGGGACTACAGTTGTGAGCCACCAAGCCCAGCCACATGACCATTGTTTTAGATCCTTAAATTGAGAAGACATTTTTTCTCAAAAAAGGAGCTGAGCTTTGAAGATTCTTGGTAACACTTCCCAGAGCTAATAGAGTTGGGTGGAGCAATTAATGAAAATTCATGGAGTAGGAGTGATTTTGCCCGTTCCTTGGAGGTTAGGAGACACTCTTCTTGGTACCAGAAGGGCAGAACTATGTCTGTGTGGCCAATTATTGCAGAGTCGAATTGGGGTAAACTTAGGACTCTTTCACATCTGCCAGAGTAGTGACTTTTGGCCCAGGAGAAGTCAGGGTGTGAGAGGACTGGCCTGATAAGTTTGTCTTTTCTCTGGATTTGTTTTCTTGCAGATTTATGAGGATGAGCCTACAGGCCCCACGCAGACTCCTGGAGCTGGCAGGGCAGAGCCTGCTGGGGGACCAGGCCTTGGCCATCTCCATCTTGGATGAGCTGCCCAGGGAGCTCTTCCCCCCACTGTTCGTGGAGGCCTTCACTAGCAGACGCTGCGAGGTTCTGAAGGTGATGGTGCAGGCCTGGCCCTTCCCCTGCCTCCCTCTGGGGTCCCTGATGAAGACGCCTGATCTGGAGATCTTACATTATGTAGTGGATGGGATTGATTGCCTGCTTGCCCAAAAGGTTCGCCCCAGGTGAGGTGACCCAGGTGGGGAGGGCCCAGGTGTCCAGGGACTAAACAGCTGGGTCAGACAAATTGGGAACCCGGGGTGGCCCAGGGGCTTCTGATGGTGCCAGTGAGAAAGCTGGGAACGTTCTTGGCTATTGCCCAGCTCCTCTGGGAAAGGACTGCTCACCATACAGGGTCCACTGAGGAAACAGGAACCTGCCTGCTCCCAGTGGAAGGTAAAGGCACTAGAAGTGGGTACCAGGCAGAATCCAAGGGGGAAAGGGATGGAGAAGAGACAGAAGGAGGGGCGCTGAGGAAAAAAGCAGCTGAAGTCCTTGATGTGGAGTGAAAGCCCAGGTCAGGGGTGGGTCCTTGTCTACGTTCTGAGCTTTTCCCCTATGTTACTCACAGGAGGTGGAAACTTCAAGTGCTGGAATTGCGGGATGTTGATGAGAATTTTTGGACCATATGGTCTGGAGCCAGGCCCCTGTCCTGCTCCCCAGAGGCCATGAGTAAGAGGCAGACAGTGGAGGACTGTCCAAGGACAGGAGAGAAGCAGCCCTTGAAGGTGTTCATGGATGTTTGCCTCAAGGAAAAATTCATGGATGAAGATCTGAGCTTCTTCTCTGGGTGGGTCCAGCACAGAAGAGGTTCAGTACACCTGTGCTGTACTAAGGTGGTGAATTATTCAATGAGCATTCTAAATTTCAGAAACATATTGGAAACAGTATACCCAGACAGTATCCAAGTGTTGGAAATTTGGAACATGTGCTGGCCGTGTATGATAGTAGAGTTTAGCCGTTACCTGAGCCAGATGAGGAATCTTCGCAAACTCTTCATCTCCGATGGCTGTCGTTACCTGCTAAGCTCTGACAGCCAAGAACAGTTAGTTGCTGAATTCAGCTCTGTGCTCCTCAGGCTGGAGTACCTCCAGATGCTTTATGTAAGAAGGGTCTGCTTCTTCAGAGGCCACCTGGACCAGCTGATCAGGTGAGGAAGGATGGTGAGCTTTCTCTGGGGGCCATAGCACAGCCTTTTTTTGTTACAATAAACACCAATCAGCATCTACTGTGTGCCAGCCACTGGAGATGTCTAGGGAAGGGGACAGTAGAATGCACTGTCCTGTTTGGTGCTCTATATCCTGAAGTGGGTATCACAGGATCGCTCCAGTAAGGGCAGAGGGATGACCTGGGGTAGAAGCTACAGAGAGGGACATCGTGTAGGGAGCTGGTTAGTGGAGGGTTCAGCTCTAGTGAGGGTGAATTCCTTTTAGGAATTCCTTGTTAGGAAGTGTGTTTAAAGTTAATATGATAAATATGAATAGCTTTTGTGAATTCCTTGTTAGGAAGTGTGTTTAAAGTTAATATGATAAAAAAGAGGCAACAGAGGGGAGGGTGTAAAAGAAGAGAAAGTGCACCAAACCTGTGCGTTTCACAGAGGAAGCTCTGTCCTCACAGCTTAGTGAACATGAATGATCCTCTCTCTGATTCCCTGTCTGTAAAAGGTTGTTTTGAACTCCAGGAAAGGTAAGTGACATGGGAAATGCGTGCTTCTGGGATGGAGGTGAGGGAGTAGGCACGAGAGTGGTACAAAGTGACAGGTGGTTTGCAGATGTGGCCATGTCAGGGAGCCTCTGAAAGCAGGTAGCCCTAGCTGATGTCCCTAGACCTTGCTCAGGTCAGTTCTTTGGGCATCTCTTCCACTGGGCTCCTGTGGCCCAGAGATGAAGCTTTCTGCTGGAAGATGAAGAAAAGAGGCTTTAGAGATTTTATGGCCTTGAACCAATTACACCAGTGATGGTGAAAGGACTGAGCCTAAAATGGGACTGCCTCTGAATGATCCAAGTCCTCATCAGGCAGCACCTTGCGGGAGGACCATGATTAGATGATGAGAACAAACTTGTGTTTGGGCAAAGCAGGCTCTTCCCTTGACGTTATTTTCTACCACCGTCCTCTAACTGGTGCCATTGCCCAGTACTAACTTCTTGCTCTCCCCAGGTGCCTCAGGAGCCCATTGGAGACATTGGCATTAACTTATGGCTTCCTAGAAAAAGTGGACTTGAAATGTCTGCCCCGGTACCCAAGTCTCAGTCAACTGAAGCAGCTGAATCTGAGTCATGGTGCACTGCGCTTCATCCGTCTTGAGCCCCTCCGAGCTCTGCTAGAGAAAGTTGCTGCCACTCTTCAGACCCTCTTCTTAGTGGACTGTGGGATTCGGGACTCCAAACTCAGGGTCATCCTGCCTGCCCTGAGCTGCTGCTCCAACCTCACCACTTTCTGTTTTCACGGCAATGACACGTCCATGGATGGTCTGAAGGACCTGCTGCGCCACACAGGCAGGCTGAGCAATTTGAGCCTGGAAACATATCCTGCCCCTCGGGAGAGTCTTGATGACAGGGGTCGTGTCATTTCGGAGCTCCTCACCCCACTTCAGGCTGAGCTGATGCGTATACTGAGGGAAGTAAGGGAGCCCAAAAGGATCTTCTTTGGTCCGGTGTCCTGCCCTTGCTGTGGCACGTCGCCCACTGAGCAACTGGAGTTCAATTTTTGCTTGTGGGGAAGGCCTGCCTAGTGGGGTGGAGGTATAAAAAGCTTTTTCTCCAGGCACTTGGAAACTAAAATCTGGGACATAGATGTCTTTTATTTTTCTTTTTCCTTATTTTACAATTTTACAGTTTTTATTTAAAAATTTGAGACAGGGTTTCCCTATGTTGTCCAGGCTGGTCTCAAACTCTTACGCTTAAGGGAGCCACCTGCTTGGCCTCCCAAGATTCTGGGATTACAGGCATAAGCAGCTGTGCCGGGTCTATAGGTGCATTATAAAGGGAACAGAGAAACCTCTGTTTCAGGCATGTGCTTTCTGTGAGTGGAAAACAAAAAATCCCAGCAGGGGGCAGCACTGGGGAAAAAGTTGAATGGAGTCACTGAGACTCAGGGATCTGTGTCCTAGACAGTCAGAAATAGAAAGCTGAAGTTCTAGAGTGAAGGAGTTATCTCAGCAAGGATGGATACAAAGAAACGTCGGAAGTAGAGGGAACCTAAATGGAAACTCTCTGCTGTCCTTCATGATTGATTAGCCTGTTTCAGCAATTTATACATCAGAAATCTTTAGTTCCTGATGAATTAAAAAAAGAGGTACTAGTTCATCTGTGATTTAGGTTCATCTGCAGGAAATAAAGGAATCAAAATAAACTTCATTTTGTTGTTGTGGTTTTTTTTTTTTCTTTTTCTTTTTCTTTTGTTTTAGACGGAGATTCGCTCTTGTTGCCCAGGCTGGAGTGAAATGGTGCTATCTTGGCTAACCACAACCTCCGCCTCCTGGGTTCAAGCAATTTTCCTGCCTCAGCCTCCCGAGTAGCTGGGATCACAGGCATGCACCACCAAGCCCAGCTAATTTTGTATTTTTATTAGAAACGGCATTTGTCCATGTTGATCAGGCTGGTCTCGAACTCCTGACCTCAGGTAATCTGCCCACCTTGGCCTCCCAAAGTGCTAGGATTACAGGCATGAGCCGCCGAGCCTGACCTGTTTTTGTTTGTTTGTTTGTTTGTTTTGTTTATTTGATGGAGTCTTGCTTGGTCACCTAGGCTGGAGTGCAGTGGTGTGATCTTGGCTCACTGCAACCTCCAACTCCCGGGTTCAAGGGAATTTGTGTTTTTAGTAGAGACGGGGTTTCACGATGTTGGCCTGACTGGTCTCAAACTCCTAACCTCAAGTGACCTCAAGGAAGCCTCCCAAAGTGCTAGGATTACAGGCGTGAACCACTGTGCCTAGCCTAAACTTTGATTAATTTATGCCCATTCTTTACCTCTCCAGTCATCTCTTCCTTACTTTCTCCTGTGGTTATTTACTGGGTTCATCCACAAAAGATGCATGCCTGGGACCTGGAACATTCTATGTGGGCAGTGATGATGAACCATTGAGTCAACCCTCTTCTTGTCAGGGGCCCTCACTGCTCCCCAGATACTGAGACCCTGCTCACTCCTAATGGGCAGATCTGGGAGAATCTGTTCCTGATCATTGGCCATGTCAGGAAAGGGCTTCACTGCACAAGGTGCGGCCCCCTGCCTTGGGAGAGAATGGCCATAGTGTGTACTAGCGGGAGCCTCATGGCATCACCAACCCTTGCCTGTCCTCATGGTGGCTAGTGGGTTTTACTGAATTAACATAATTGTGTGTAGTAAAGATGTCCAATTTCTCTTAGAAGAATACTAAAATCATTTAGGTAGATGACACTTTCTAAATATTTCTAGCCCACATCAATATGCATCCTTTTGGAAATTAACTCATTTCAATGAGACATCTTCCTGTAACACCTCCCTTCTCTCCTTATCAAAAACAGGAAAACCAGGGCACTGACCTGTCCTCATGGTGACTAGTGGGGTTTACTGAATTAAAGTGATTGTGTCCAGTAAAGATATCCAATTTCTCTTAGAATAATGCTAAAATCATTTAGGTGGATAATACATTCTAAATATTTCCAGCCCATATTAATGGAAATATACATCCTTTTGGAAACCAACTCATTTCAATGAGAGATCTTCCTATCACACCTCCCTTCTCTCCTTATCAAGAAGCAGGAAAACCTGGGCTTGACCTAGCTAGCGCTCCTACACTGCCATGAGAATCCCTTTGGGACTTTCCCCATTTGGGACTGGCAGCACTCTCATGGTTTACTAAAACTTAGGTAAACCTGGGCTTAAGCCACCACCTGGAGCCAAGAAGGAAGCAGCAACCTAGTGGTGAAGATTCACTAAGGGAATGTATTCAGTCCAAACCAAAGCAAGCCAGACAGAGAAAACTGGAGTAAATCATTCTTCCTTCAGTGCAAAAATACAGATCTATATCTACAAGAAAATAGAGCAAACAGGAAACTGTGACCTCCCCAAAATGACAAAGCAGAAATCTAGTGGGTGACTCTAATGTGATGGCTATTTGTCAGGTCTCTAACCAATCACTGAAAATCGCAGGTTTTCAAACTTGTATTTAGTTCCAGAAATACAGATGCAGGTTTGTTCTCTCTCTTTCTCTTTCTTTCTTTCTTTCTTTCCTTCTCTCTCTTTCTCTTTCTTTCTTTCTTTCTTTCTTTCTTTCTTTCTTTCTTTCTTTCTTTCTTTCTTTCTTTCTTTCTTTCTTTCCTTCCTTCCTTCCATCTTTCTTGCTTCATCTCTTTCTTTCTTTCTTTCTCTTTCTTTCTCTTTCTTTCTTTCTTTCTTTCTTTCTTTCTTTCTTTCTTTCTTTCTTTCTTTCTTTCTTTCCACTTTAAGTTCTGGGATACATGTGCAGAACGTGCAGTTTTGTTACATACGTATACACATGCCATGGTGGTTTGCTGTACCCATCAACCCGTCATCTACATTAGGTATTTCTCCTAATGCTACCCCTCTCCTAGCCCTCCACACCCCGAGAGGCCCTGATGTGTAGTGTTCCCCTACCTGTGACCATGAGTTCTCATTGTTCAACTCCCACTTATGTGGTGTTTTGGTTTACTGTTCCTGTGTTAGTTTGCTGAGAATGATGGTTTCTAGCTTCATCCATGTCCCTGCAAAGGAAATGAACTTATTTTTTATGACTGCATAGTATTCCATGATGTATATGTGCCACATTTGCTTTATCCAGTCTATCATTGATGGGCATTTGGGTTGGTTCCAAGTCTTTGCTGTTGTGAATAGTGCTGCAATAAACATACTTGTGCATGTGTCTTTATAGTAGAAGGATTTATAATCCTTTGGATATATACCCAGTAATGAGATTGCTGGATCAAATGGTATTTCTGGTTCTAGATCCTTGAGGAATTGCCACACTGTCTTCCACAATGGTTGAACTAATTTACACTCCCACCAACAGTGTCAAAGCATTCCTATTTCTCCACATCCTTTCCAGCATCTGTTGTTTCCTGACTTTTTAATGATCACCATTCTAACTGGCATGAGATGGTATCTCACTGTGGTTTTGATTTGCATTAGAGAAATGCAAATCAAATGACCAGTGGTGATGAACATTTTTTCATATGTTTGTTGGCTGGATAAATGGTTTTTTTGGAGAGTTGTCTGTTAGTATCCTTCACCCACTTTTTGACAGGGTTGTTTGTTTTTTTCTTGTAAATTTGCTTAAGTTCCTTGTAGATTCTGGATATTAGCCATTTGTCTGATGGATAGATTGCAAAAAATTTTCCCATTCTATAGGTTGCCTGTTGACTCTGATGATAGTTTCTTTTGCTGTGCAAAAGCTCTTTATTTTAATTAGATCCCATTTGTCAATTTTGGCTTTTGTTGCCATTGGTTTTAGTGTTTTAGCCATGAAGTCTTTGCCCATGCCTATGTCCTGAATGGTATCACCTAGGTTTTCTTCTAGGGTTTTTATGGCTTTAGGTCTTACATTTAAGTCTTTAATCCATCTTGAGTTAATTTTTGCATAAGGTGAAAGGAAGGGGTTCATTTGCAGTTTTCTGCATATGGCTAGCCAGTTTTCCCAACACCGTTTATTAAATGGGGAATCCTTTCCCCATTGGCTGTTTTTGTCAGGTTTGTCAAGGATCAGATGGTTGTAGATGTGTGGCATTATTTCTGAGTCCTCTGTTCTGTTTCATTGGTCTACATATCTGTTTTGATAACTGTACCATGTTGTTTTGGTTACTGTAGCCTTGTCGTATAGTTTGAAGTCAGGTAGCGTGATGCCTCCAGCTTTGTTCTTTTTGCTTAGGATTGTGTTGTGTATACAGGTTCTTTTTTGCTTCCATATGAAGTTTTAAGTAGTTTTTTCTAATTCTGTGAAGAAACTCCATTACAGCTTGATGGGGATAGCATTGAATCTATAAATCACTTTGGGCAGTATGGCCATTTTCATGATATTGATTCTTCAGACCCATGAGCGTGGAATGTTTTTCCATGTGTTAGTGTCCTCTCTTATTTCCTTAAGCAGTGGTTTGTAGTTCTCCTTGAAGAGGTCCTTCACATCCCTTGTAAGTTGTATTCCTATGTATTTTATTTTCTTTTAGCAATTGTGAATGGGAGTTCACTCATGATTGGCTCTCCGTTTGTCTATTGTTGATGTATAGGAATGATTTTGATTTTTGCACATTGATTTTGTATCCTGAGGCTTTGTTGAAGTTGCTTATCAGCTTTAGGAGATGTTGGGCTGAGATGATGGGGTTTTCTAAATATACAATCATGTCATCTGCAAACAGAGACAATTTGACTTCCTCTCTTCCTATTTGAATACTCTTTATTTCTTTCTCTTGCCTGATTGCCCTGGCCAGAACTTCCAATACTATGTTGAATAGGAGTGGTGAGAGGGGGCATCCATGCATTGTGCTGGTTTTCAGAGGGAATGCTTCTAGCTTTTGCCCATTCAGTATGATATTGGCTGTGGTTTTGTCATAAATGGCTCTTATTATTTTTACATACGTTCCATCAATACCTAGTTTATCTAGAGTTTTTAGCCTGAAAGGGTGTTGAATTTTATCGAAGGCCTTTTCTGCACATATTGAAATAATCATGTGGTTTTTGTCATTGGTTCTGTTTATGTGATGGATTACGTTTATTGATTTGCGTAAGTGGAACCAGCCTTGCGGATCAGGGATGAAGCCGACTTGATATTGGTGGATAAGCTTTTTGACGTGCTGCTGGATTCGGTTTGCCAGTATTTTATTGAGGATTTTTGCATCGATGTTAATCAGGGATATTGGTCTCAAATTCTCTTTTTTTGTTGTGTCTCTGCGAGGCTTTGGTGTCAGGATGATGCTGGCCTCATAAAATGAGTTAGGGAGGATTCCCTCTTTTTCTATTAAGTGGAATAGTTTCAGAAGGAATGGTACCAGCTCCTCCTTGTACCTCTGATAGAATTCGACTGTGAATCCATCTGGTCCTGGACTTTTTTTGGTTGGTAAGCTATTAATTATTTCCTCAATTTCAGAGCCTGTTATTGGTCTATTCAGAGATTCACCTTCTTCCTGGTTTATTCTGGGGAGGGTGTATGTGTTGAGGAATTTATCCATTTCTTCTAGATTTTCTAGTTTATTTGCATAGAGTTGTTTATAGTATTCTCTGATGGTAGTTTGTATTTCTGTGGGATCCGTGGTGATATGCCCTTTATCATTTTTTATTGCATCTATTTGATTCTTCTATCTTTTCTTTATTAGTCTTGCTAGCAGTCTATCTATTTTGTTGATCTTTTCAAAAAACCAGCTCCTGGATTCATTGATTTTTTGAAGAGGTTTTTGTGTCTCTATTTCCTTCGGGTCTGCTCTGATCTTAGCTATTTCTTGCTTTCTGCTGGCTTTTGAATATGTTTGCTCTTGCTTCTCTAGTTCTTTTAATTGTGATGTTAGGTTGTCAATTTTAGATCTTTCCTGCTTTCTCTTGTGGGCATTTAGTGCTATAAATTTCCCTCTACACACTGCTTTGAATGTGTCCCAGATATTCTGGTATGTTGTGTCTTTTTTCTCATTGGTTTCAAAGAATGTCTTTATTTCTGTCTTCATTTCGTTATGTACCCAGTAGTCATTCAGGAGCAGGTTGTTCAATTTCCATGTAGTTGAGCGGTTTTGAGTGAGTTTCTTTTATTATTATTATTATGCTTTAAGTTTTAGGGTACATGTGAACAACGTGCAGGTTTGTTACATATGTATACGTGTGCCATGTTGGTGTGCTGCACACATTAACTCGTCATTTAGCCTTAGGTATACCTCCTAATGGTATCCTATGCAGCCATAAAAAATGATGAGTTCATGTCCTTTGTAGGGACATGGATGAAGCTGGAAACCATCATTCTCAGCAAACTATCACAAGCACAAAAAACCAAACACTGCATGTTCTCGCTCATAGGTGGGAGTTGAACAATGAGAACACATGGACACAGGAAAGGGAACATCACACACTGAGTGAGTTTCTTAATCCTGAGTTCTAGTTTGATTGCACTGTGGCCTGAGAGACAGTTTGTTATAATTTCTGTTCTCTTACATTTGCTGAGGTGTGCTTTACTTCCAACTATGTGGTCAATTTTTGGAATAAGTGCAGTGTGGTGCTGAGAAGAATGTATATTCTGTTGATTTTGGATGGTGAGTTCTGTAGATGTCTATTAGGTCTGCTTGGCACAGAGCTGAGTTCAATTCCTGTATATCCTTGTTAACTTTCTGTCTCATTGATGTGTCTAATGTTGACAGTGGGGTGTTGAAGTCTCCCATTATTGTTGTGTGGGAGTCTAAGTCTCTTTGTAGGTCTCTAAGGACTTGCTTTATGAATCTGGGTGCTCCTGTATTGGGTGCATCTATATTTAGGATAGTTAGCTCTTCTTGTTGAATGGATCCCTTTACCATGATGTAATGGCCTTCTTTGTCTCTTTTGATCTTTGTTGGTTTAAAGTCTGTTTTATCCGAGACAAGGATGGCAACTCCTGCCTTTTTGTGTTTTCCATTTGCTTGGAAGATCTTCCTCCATCCTTTTATTTTGAACCTATGTGTGTCTCTGCATGTGAGATGGGTTTCCTGAATACAGCACACTGATGGGTCTTGACTCTTTATCCAATTTGCCAGTCTGTGTTTTTTAATTGGAGCATTTAGCCCATTTACATTTAAGGTTAATATTGTTATGTGTGAATTTGATCCTGTCATTATGATGTTAGCTGGTTATTTTGCTCTTTAGTTGATGCAGTTTCTTCCTAGTATCGATGGTCTTTCCAATTTGGCATGTTTTTGAAGTGGCTGGTACCAGTTGTTCCTTTCCGTGTTTAGTGCTTCCTTCAGGAGCTCTTATAGGGCAGGCCTGGTGGTGACAAAATCTCTCAGCATTTGCTTGTCTGTAAAGGAATTTATTTCTCCTTCACTTATGAAGCTTAGTTTGGTTGCATATGAAATTCTGGGTTGAAAATTCTTTTCTTAAGAATGTTGAATATAGGCCCCCACTCTCTTCTAGCTTGTAGAGTTTCTGCCGAGAGCTCTGCTGTCAGTCTGATGGGCTTCCCTTTGTGGGTAACCCGACCTTTCTCTCTGGTTGCCCTTAACATTTTTTCCTTCATTTCAACTTTGGCGAATCTGACAATTATGTGTCTTGGAGTCGCTCTTCTCAAGGAGTATCTTTGTGGCATTCTGTGTATTTCCTGAATTTGAATGTTTGCCTGCCTTGCTAGATTGGGGAAGTTCTGCTGGATAATATCCTGAAGAGTGTTTTCCAGCTTGGTTCCATTCTCCCCATCACTTTCAGGTACACCAGTAAGACATAGACTTGGTCTTTTCACATAGTCCCATATTTCTTGGAGGCTTTGTTCATTTCCTCTTATTCTTTTATCTCTGAACTTCTCTTCTCGCTTCATTTCATTCATTTGATCTTCCCTCACTGATACCCTTTCTTCCAGTTGATTGAATCAGCTACTGAGGCTTGTACATTTGTCATGTAGATCTCGTGCCATGGTTTTCAGCTCCATCAGGTCCTTCAAGGACTTCTCTGCATTGGTTATTTTAGTTAGCCATTCATCTAATTTTTTTTCAATGTTTTTGACTTCTTTGCCATGGGTTCGAACTTCCTCTTTTAGCTCAGAGTCGTTTGATCATCTGAAGCCTTCATCTCTCAACTCATCAAAGTCCTTCTCCCTCTAGCTTTGTTCCATTGCTGGTGAGGAGCTGCGTTCCTTTCGAGGAGGAGAGGAACTCTGATTTTTAGAGTTTCCCATTTTTCTGCTCTGTTTTTTCCTCATCTTTGTGGTTTTATCTACCTTTGGTCTTTGATGATGCTGATGTACAGACTGGGTTTTGGTGTGGATGTCCTTTCTGTTTGTTAGTTTTCCTTCTAACAGTCAGGACCCTCAGCTGCAGGTCTGTTGGAGTTTGCTGGAGGTCCACTCCAGAAGCTGTTTGCCTGGGTATCAGCAGCAGAGGCTGCAGAACAGTGGATATTGGTGAACAGCAAATGTTGCTGCCCGATCGTTCCTGTGGAAGTTTTGTCTCAGAGGAGTACCTGGCCATGTGAGGTGTCAGTCTGCCCCTGCTGGTGGGTGCCTCCCAGTTAGGCTACTTAGGGGTCACAGACCCACTTGAGGAGGCAGTCTGTCCATTCTCAGATCTCCAGATGCGTGCTGGGAGAACCACTAGTCTCTTCAAAGCTGTCAGACAGGGACATTTAAGTCTACAGAGGATTCTGCTGTCTTTTGTTTGGCAATGCCCTGCCCCCAGAAATGGAGTCTGCAGAGGCAGGCAGGCCTCCTTGAGCTGCAGTGGGCTCCACCCAGTTCCAGCTTCCTGGCTGCTTTGTTTACCTACTCAAGCCTCAACAATGGCAGGCGCCCCTCCCCCAGCCTTGCTGCCGCCTTGCAGTTTGATCTCAGACTGCTGTGCTAGCAATGAGTGAGGCTCCGTGGGCATAGGACCTTTTGAGCCAGACACGGGATATAATCTCCTGGTGTGCCATTTGCTAAGACTCTTGGAAAAGCACAGTATTAGGGTGGGAGTGACCGGATTTTACAGGTGCCATCTGTCACCCCTTTCTTTGACTAGGAAAGGGAATTCCCTGACTCCTTGCACTTCCCAGGAGAGGCAATGCCTCACGCTGCTTTGGCTCATGCTCGGTGCACTGCACCCACTGTCCTACAGCCACTTTCTGACACTCCCCAGTGAGAAGAACCTGGTACCTCAGTTGGAAATGCAGAAATCACCCGTCTTCTGCACCGCTCAGGCTGGGAGCTGTAGACTGGAGCTGTTCCTATTCGGCAATCTTGGCTCAACCCCCTAGTTAATTTTTGTGTCTTTAATAGAGACAGGGTTTCATCATATTGGCCAGAGTCGTCTTGAACTCCTGACTGAAGTGATCCACCCACCTCAGTCTCTGCAAGTGCTGGGATTACAGATGTAAGCCACTGTGCCTGGTCAATTGCTGGACGTTCATGATACACCTGGAGTATCCACAGTATCACAAGGGCCATTTTTTTCCATAATCCAATTTATTTATATTATTGGTAGTGAGCTAATGTTGATGTCCCCAAGGTAGCAATTTAGTGACTATACCCATGATAAACGTTTCCATGCATCACGTGGTCAACAGCATTTGCTACCAAGTGCCACGTTCCATGCTCAGCAGTGGGAACACAGGATGATGGAGACAAAGTTCCTGACCTTTAGCAGCAATATCGAACAAGTGAGATTGTCAAGAAAGAAGAAATCATTGTAAAACATACCATACCCCTACAATTCCGTAATCATGCTCCTGGATATTTAATGAAGTGAGTAAACCCACACCTGGATGTTTACAGCAACTTATTCATAATCGCCAAAACTTGGAAGCTAGCAAGTTGCCCTTCGGTCAGTGACTGGATAAGCAAACTGATCCATCCAGTCAGTGAACTATTATAAAGCTGTAAAAAGACATGAAAAATTCCTAAATGCACGTTATTGTACAAGTGAAAGAAGGCAATCTGAAAAGACTCATCCTGTTAGACATTCCAGAAAAAGCTTTTGCATTTTTCTAAGGAGACAGTAGAAAGCCCAGTGGATGCAAGGGGTTGGGAGCACAATGGGATGAATGGGAAGAGGACAGAGGAATTTTAGGGAAAGAAAACTACTCTCCATGATGCTCTAATGGTGGATACATGTCATTATCCCTTTGTTAAAATCCATAGAATGTACAAAACCAGCAATGATCCCTCATGTGAACTATGGACATTGGATGATAATGATGTGTCCCTGTGGCTCATTGGTTGTGATGAATGCTCTGTGCTGGTGTGGGTGCTGATCCTGTGGGGGTGCTGTGTATTGAAGGGGGAAGAAGGTAGATGAGAACTCTGCAGTTTCTGCTTAGTTTTTCTGTGAATCTAAAACTGCTGTAAAGGAAAAAATAGGTTGGGTGTGGTGGCTCACGCCTATAGTCGTAGCATTTTGGGAAGCCGAGGCAGGTGGATCACCTGAGGTCAGGGGTTCCAGACCAGCCTAGCTAAAATGACAAAACCCTGTCTCTACTAAAAAATAATAATAATAATAATACAAAAATTAATCAGGTGTGGTGTTGCATGTCTGTAATCCCAGCTACTCTGGAGGCTGAGACAGGAGCATTGCTGGAACCCTGGAGGCAGAAGTTACAGTGAACAGAGATCGTACCTCTGCACTCCAGCACGGATGACAGAAGGAGACTCCATCTCCAAAATAAATAAATAAATAAACTCAAGGCTGGGTGCGGTGGCTCATGCCTATAGGAGCTCACTCCCAGCAATTTAGGAGGCCGAGGCAGGTGGATCGCTTGAGCCCAGAATTTCAAGACCAGTCTGGGCAACATGGTGAAGCCTGGTCTTCACTAAGAATACAAAAATAAGTCAGGCATGATGGTGCATGCCTGTTGTTCCAGCTACTAGGGGGACTGAGGCAGGGAGATCACCTGAGCCTAGGAGGTCAAGGCTGCAGTAAGCCGTGATCATGCCACTGCACTCCAATCTGGACGACAGAGTGAGACTTTGTCTCCAAATAAAATAAAATAAAATAAAATAAACTCAATATTTTTTAAAACTGTAATGTTTCCTTTCAAAGCTAAAATTGTATTATTCTAAATATATTTTAAAGAAGAAATGATTATTGTTCAGTGTCTTTAAAATTAGTTTTTAAAATCTCATTTGTTTTGACATTTCAAACCAAGTTAAGTATTCTTTTTCTCACCCTCCTTGAGACGGAGTCTTCCTCTTTCACCCAGGCTGGAGTGCAGTGGTGCATTCTTGGCTCACTGCAACCTTTGCCTCGCAGGTTCAAGCGATTCTCTTGCCTCAGCCTCCTGACTATCTGGGATTACAGGCACCTGTCACCACGCCAGGCTAATTTTTTGTATTTTTAGTAGAGACGGGGTTTCATCATGTTGGCCAGGCTGGTCTGGAACTCCTGACCTCGTGATGTGCCCACCTCGGCCTCCCAAAGTGCCAGGAATACAGGCATGAACCACCACACCTGGCCATTAACCATTCTTGAAATATCACGTTGCATTCTTTAAAAGTTCTAATCTTTCATATACATAAATTACAACACAAATATTTATACTCTAATAGTATTCACATTATAGTAAATTTTTTTTCATGCTCTGTCGCCCAGGCTGGAGTGAAGTGGTGCAATCTCGTCTCATTGCAACCCTCACCTCCCGGGTTCAAGTGATTGTCCTGCCTCAGCCTCCTGAATACCTGGGATTACAGGCGAATGCCACCACTCCCAGCAAATTTTGTGTATTTTTAGTAGAGACGGGGTTTCACCATGTTGGCCAGGCTGGTCTCAAAATCCTGAGGCTGCCTTGGCCTCCCAAAGTGGTGGGATTAGAAGTGTGAGACACCATGCCCGGCCATAATAATAAATTTTATTTTATCTTTTTTTTTGAGACGGAGTTTTGCTAGGGTTGCCCAGGCTGGAGTGCAATGGCTCAGTCTGAGCTCACAACAACCTCCACCTCCCAGCTTCAAACGATTCTCCCGCCTCAGCCTATCGAGTAGCTGCAATTACAGACGTGCGCCACCACGCCTGGCTAATTTTTTGTATTTTAAGTAGAGAAGGGGTTTCTTCATGTTGCTCAGGCTGGTCTCAAACTCCCAACCTCAGGTAATCCACCTGCCTCAGCCTCCCAAAGTGCTGGAATTACAGGTATGACTCACTGCACCTGGCTCATAATAGTACATTTTTAAAAACACCATAAAATATAATCCTTGCAACACTCAATTATACCATCTGGTCGGATCTATCAGCAGATGGCACCCGAGACATACGGATTGGAAATTTTGATCTTATTATGAATGAATCCAGTCCAGAAATGCCCACCCTGCCCCCTGCTGGCTCCTGGGGCTCTGCTCTTTGGGGGAATCATGATGAAATTGTGGCAGAGAGTAGAAGTTGAGCCCCATTGCATGCCCTGAGTTCTTGTTGCCTCTCTATTATCAGGAAAAGGAGGTGAGATTGAAAGATGAAAAGTGCTGGGACTTCTGCTGAGAAGAGAAAAAAGAACAAGATGTATTGATCTTACTGTATACCAGACCCCATGCCAAGCCCTAAACATGAACCATCTCATTGGATCCTACCAAGGTCCCATAAGCTGTTGGACATCATCATCCTCATTTTACAGGAAGGTGAGGCTCTAGGCTAACATCCCTGACAGCAACACCAGCCCCTGAGTACTCAGCAGGATCCTTCACTTGGGTGCCCATTATGCAGGCTTCCTCAGCACAGGGAAGGTCACTCATCACCCACAGGCCCTTGATCGTTATCCACCCTTTGATGCTGTCAGATTCCAGAACACGCTGCACTAGTCTCTTCCTTCATAGGGAGAGAGGGGAGGTGTTATGAGAAAATCTCTCATCAATCTGACCTAGCTCCCCAAAAAGATGTAACTTTTAAAATGTCAGATGGAAATATTTAAAAAGTGTTATATGCCTGTATAGTTTTAGTATTTTACTTAAAGGGAATGTGGCTGTCTTTACTGGCTACAACCAGTTTAATTCAAGAAGGGCTGCTGGTCATCAGGAGAAAAAGCAAGGGTTGATGCTGCCCAGAGTCTCCAGCTAATACACAATATGGACATCCCCTTCCAGGGCAGTGGGAAGAGAGTGGGTCCTTGTGCAGTGCAGCTGACATCCACCAACTAAGGCTTCTGGAAGCATGTGGAGACTCACAGGGAGTGGGCAGGG
Organism: Homo sapiens; assembly: GCF_000001405.40. Classification (NCBI taxonomy): domain Eukaryota; kingdom Metazoa; phylum Chordata; class Mammalia; order Primates; family Hominidae; genus Homo; species Homo sapiens. The sequence goes on along the minus strand of NW_015495298.1, from coordinate 176,040 downwards.
TCTCAGCATCTGGCTAGCGGTGAAAGACGCTGAGAAGAAGGTGCTTTCCGTGTGGATTGGCTCACTGTTCTTGCCCAGTAATGTTCCAGGCCTTTGGTGTCCACCTAGTGTGTATTAACCCACTGAACAGCCACAGAAACTAACAAGGAGTTAACAGACATCTAAAGAAGTGAAGAACTGGAGGAGGCCAAGCCAAGCGTGGTGGTCCATGCCTATACTCCCTGCATTTTGGGAGGCCAAGGCAGGAGAATCACAAGCTCAGGAGTTCCAGATCAGCCTGGGGAAGACAGCGAGGCCTTGTCTCTACTAAAAAGAAGTATCCAGGTGTGGTGGCTCACACAGCTGTAGTCCTAGCTACTCAGGAGGCTGAGGTGGGAGGATCGCTTGAACCCAGGAAATTGAGGTTGCAGTGAGGTATGATTGTGCCACTGCACTGTAGCCTGAGTGACAGGAGACCTTTAAAAAACAAAAACAAAAAAAAGCCTGACACAGTGGCTCACACCTGTAACCCCAGCACTTTGGTAGGCCTACTTGCTTGAATCACCCAAAGTCAGGAGTTTGAGACCAGCCTGACCAACATAGTGAGGAAACCCTGTCTCTACTAAACATACACAAATTAGCTGGGCATGGTGGTGCATGCTTGTAATCACAACTACTTGGGAGGCTGAGGCAGAAGAATCATTTAAACCCCAGGTGGAGGTTGCAGTCAGCTGAGATGGCACCATTGCACTCTAAACTCCAGCCTGGGCAACAAGAGTGAAACTCTGTCTCCAATAAAAGAATGGGAGGAAACTGATTACAATAACCAAATTTCATTTAAATGCCTTGATTTTCTTGGGCTGCATCTTATTGATTGGACAACTCAGTCAGTGCCTTTTGTTTTTTCCATCAATAACTGAAGATTCCTGAGGCTTAAACTGGAAAACAGGTTACTTAATAATAGAGGGCACCAGACAGATTCTGCTCAGTTTTCCTTTATTTCTGATTGTTTCTTTACAACCATCCATGCAAGAGTAACTCCCTCATGTATTCTCAAGCCTGAATTCCACTCTAGACATTCAGATTCCCATTTTCGACTCTACAGGATACAGGTCCCCAAAGTCCCGTCGAATCCATGGCAACATTTCCCCCAAGTCCTGCCCCTGCTTGATCAGCATTCCTTTCCCACTTTCAGAGCCTATGTGTGAAATGATGGGTTCTGTGCTCCCTTTAGGATGTACCTAAGACCTAGGTTTTAGTTTCCAAGTGTCCAGAAGAAAGCGTTTGACATACCCATCCAAATAGGCAGGCATTCAACAGCAGTATTGATCTGCCTCCAGGTCATAAAATGACCTGTTGCCACAGTCAGGGCAGTTGTCAATACAGAAAAAGATCCTCTTGGGGTGCCTTAAGTCCCTCACTCTGTTCATCAGCTCAGCCCTAATTTGAGCAAATCTGCTCCAGCAGAGAGTACCATCAGCACCATAACTCTCCTGCGGGGCAGGATACACCTCCACGCATAAGTTTTTGAGTATGATTGTGTGGCTCAGCAGGTTCTCCAGGGTGGCCATGGAGATGGGATTTCCACAGAAGCTGAAGGCATTGAGCTCAAAGCAGCGGCTCAGGGCAGGCAGGATGGCGTTGACTTGGGAGTCTATGATGCCACAGTCATCTAAATCCAAGTACTCAAGGGTGGCTGCAACTTTTTCTAGGAGAATTTGGAGAGGCACAAGACTGTAATTGGTCAGTCTGATGCCACTCAGGTCCAGGGTCTTTAGTTGACTGATACTCGGGCACTGGGATAGATGCTTCAAGTCTGATTCCAAAAGCACACAGTTAGTTATTGTGAGGACCTTTAACGAGGTCTTCAGACAGCTGGGGAGAGAGAGCAAGAAGTTAATTCTGGGGAATCATAGGGGTGAGTGGAGGGTGGTGGGGAATGGCTTCATGGTAATGGATGGAGACCATTTTGCCCAAGTCCAGGGTCATTCTGATGGCCTGATGGTCAACACTTAGGATGATGTGTGATGAAGAGCTTTGCCACCGAGGTCAATTCCACCTTAGAGCCGGCCCAGTAACTCACACCTGTAATCCCAGAACTTTGGGAGGCTGAGACTGGTGGATTCCTTGAGATCAGGAGTTTGAGACCAGCCTGCTGAACATGGCAAAACCTCGTCTCTACTAAAAATCCAAAAATTAGCCAGGTGTGGTGGGGGGAGCCTGCAATTCCAGCTACTTGGGAAGCTGAGGCAGAAGAATCGTTTGAACCCAGGAGGTGTAGGTTGCAGTGAGCAGAGATCATGCCACTACACTCCAGCCTGGGTGACAGAGAGAGACTCTGTATTAAAAAAAAAGAAGGAAAAAAAATAATTCCATTTGAGGCTGAGTCATTTCACCATCATTTATAGGAATGGATCAAGTTCACAGAATCCCTAAAGCTCCCTTTCCTCATCTGTCAGGCAGAAAACCACATCCCTGGGCCACAGAAGCCCAGTGGAGATTCAGGCATAAAGGACAAACCCAGACAGGATCCTGCAACATCAGCTGGGGTGGGCGGGCTGTAGGCGTCCCTGCCATGCCTGTATCATCAGCAAACCATCTATCACTTTCACCATTCTTTGTGCCTGCTCCCTGACCCTCTGTTTCAGAATCATGCATTGCTTAGGTAATTAATTTACCTGGAGCTCAAAACACTTTTACAACAGGGAATTAGAGATGGGATCATTCATGTTCACCAAACTATGGGGCACAAAGCTGATTTTCTGACATGTGCAGGTTTGCTGAGCATTCCCCTCTTCAGTGCCCACTTCACTTCCCTACTTTACATCATCTGCTTAAAAATTATCTTGTTGGCTGGGCGTGGTAGCTCTCGCCTATAATCCCAGCACTTTGGGAGTCCAAGGTGGGCGGATCACCTGAAGTCAGGAGTTGGAGAATATCCTGGCCAACATGGTGAAACCCTGTCTCTACTTAAAATATAAAAATTAGCCAGGTGTGCTGACTCATGCCTGTAATCCCAGGCACTCAAGAGGCTGAGGCAGGAGAATCGCTTGAACCTGGGAGGCAGAAGTTGCTGCGAGCTGAGATGTCACAAGTGCACTTTACCCTGGATGATCAAAGTGAAAATTCATCTCAGAAAAAAAAAAAGTTATCTTGTTTGTTTTTACTTTTATTTCTTCACTTCTGACAGGGGTCTTGGGATGTTACCCAGACTGGTCTTAAACTCCTAGGCTCAAGCTATCCTCTTGCCTCAGACTCCCAAAGTGATAGGATTACAGGCATGAGCCACCGTCCCTGGCCTATTTTTCATCATCTTAACTTAGACACACGTCCTCAGGAAGAATTCAGAAAGGCACCCTCACTAGATCTGAACCCCCCAGTAGCTAGCTTCCTAGTATGACAACCTCTCTATAGCATCTCCCCTAGCTGATCCCGCTGCCTCTATTGGGATGGTTGCATGATACCCATTTCAGGACAGGGCCGCCAACAGGACAATGTATGGACATTCTAGTGTCCCCTTCACTGTTTCATCCTCATAGGCTGGCTCACAGTAGATGCCCACTAGCGTTTAGTGAAACAGGCTCTGCTGTGGTCTGCAGAGAAAGCTCACCACCCTCCCTCACCTGAGCAGCTGGTCCAGGTGGCCTTCGAGGAAAGAAACAGAGTTCATATAAAGCTTTTGGAGGCAGTGCAGCTTGAGGAACTGAGTGGTGAACTGGGTAACAATCTCCTTCTTCTGCTCTGGGGAAACGTAGCGAGAGACATCCATGTGGGAGAGAACGAGCTTCTGAAGATTCCTCATGTGGCCCAGGTATGGGGTAAACTGTGTCAGGATGGGCAGTACCCACTTGCAATTCACTTCCACCTCCTGGATACAGTCTAGGTTCACCATTTTCAGGATGCTTCTGATATTGCGGAAGGGCATTCCCAAAATTTTCAGCTTCTTACAGCACAGGTGTAGTAAATCTTTCCTCTGCTTGACCCATAGAAGGAGGTAGGTGAGGTATTCATCCAGAGTCCTGTTCTTGAGCCAAAGTTCTACGAACACAGTCAAGGGCTGCTGTCCTCTCATCCTTGGACAGTCCTGCACTGGTGTTTTGTTCCTCTTGGCATTGAGGAAGGACCCACGGGCCATAGCTTCAGACCAAACCATCCAGAAGTTCTCACAGACATCCTGTAAATCCAGCACTTGAAGTTTCCACCTCCTGTGGGAAAATAGAGGTGAGACTGAGAATTTAAGAACTCATTTCTGAATTTAAACTCCACATCCTGGATAGCAGCTCCTCCCCTCCCTGCTTCTTGTCCCTCTCTCTGACTTTTCTTCACTCTGTTTTCCCCTTGGATCCTACCCACTTCCACATTTTTTTGTTTTTTTTTTTGAGACCAAGTCTCCCTCTGTCGCCCAGGCTAGAGTGCAGTGGTGTGATGTCACCTCACTGCAACCTCTGCTTCCTGGGTTCAAATGATTCTCCTGCCTCAACCTCACAAGTAGCTGGGATTACAGGAGCCCACCACCATGCCCAGCTAATTTTAGTATTTTTAGTAGAGTTGGGGTTTACCATGTTGGACAGGCTGGCCTCCAACTCTTGACCTCAGCCTCCCAATGTGCTGGGATTACATTGTGAGCCACCGTGCCCGGCCCAGTTCTCACTTTTCATGGTGCCTTTCAGTGCCATTAGAGGAGAGGTTCCTGTTACCTCCATGGACCTTGCGTGGTGAGCAGTGCTTTCCCTGAGGAGCTGGTGAATGGCCAAGTCCTCTCGGCTTCCTCACCACCACCATCCCCCTTGGGCCTCCTCACTTCACATGACCCAGCTGTTCCTTCAGTTGGACACCTGGGCCCTCCCCACCAGCCCACCTGGGCCACCTCACCTGGGACAAACCCCTTGGGTAAGCAGTGCATCCAGCCCATCGAGCACAGCTTGGAAGGCCTCCAGACAAGGCATCTTTATCAGAGGCCTCAGAGGGAGGCGGCGGAAGGGCCAGGCCTGCACCATCAGCTTCAGGGCCTCACAGCGTCTCCTGCTGAAGGCCTCCATGAACAGTGGGGGGAAAAGTTCTGTGGGCAGCTCCTCCAGGGTGGACATGGCCAAGGCTTGGTCCCTCAGCAGGCTCCGCCCCGCCAGCTCCAGGAGTCTGGGTGGAGTCCGGATGCTCATCTTCATGAATCTGCAGGGAAAACTTCCAGAGGACAAACCCAGAGAAAAGGCATCACTCTCAGGCCAAGCCCATGCAATCTCATCTTCTCCTATGGCCAAACTCACTGCTCTGGCAATGGTGAAACAGCCCTCAGTTTACTCCAATTCTACTCTGTACTCAGTGGCCATTAAGCCAGCATTCTGCCTCTGCTGCATCAGCATGAGCGTCTCCGAAGCAGTGAGGAAGCAGGGTCACCACGAGCCCTTCCTTTCTATCCAGTGCTCCATCCAGTGACTAGTGAGTGTGGAGGAACCTGAAAGTGAACCCCTCCTACCATTGGGGGAAATTACTGATTACTCAAGGTTCTAAAACAATGGGAATGGGAGTGTCACAAGCCTACATGCCCACATTTTCAGTTCCTACAAATAAGTTTGTTGGGAACATTCATGGGACATCCCTAGAACAGGTTCTATTTGTTTTCTTTTCATTATTTAAGCTTGCTTTCTCTTTCTCTCTCTTTCTTCTTTCCTTCTTTCCCTCTCTCCCTCCCTTCTTTCTTTCTTTCCCCCTCTCTCTCCCTTCTTTCTTTCTTGTCTTCTTTCCCTGCATCCCTTCTCTCATTCTCTCTCTCTTTCTCTCTCTCCCTCTCTCACTCTTTCTGACAGGGTCTTGCTCTGTCACCCAGCCTGGAGTGTAGTGGTGGGATCTCAGCTCAGTGCAGCCTTGACCTCCCAGCTCAAAGGATTCTTCCCCCTCAGCCTCCCAAGTAGCTGGGACCACAGTTATGCATCACCACACCCAGCTCATCTTTTATGTTTTGACTTTTTGTAAAGACAGTGGATTTCGCTATGTTGTCCAAGCTGGTCTTGAACTCCTAGTCTCAAGCAATCTACCCCTCTTGGCCTCCCAACATACTGGGATTATAGGTGTGAGCCTCTGCCCCAGCCTCGTTATTGAAAATTTCAGTGAGAAGCTTTGAAAGCTATGTGACACTGTTATGCATCATTCTCAAGATAGATGTTTCCAATGCACACCTCTTACACATATTCAAACTGAACCACTTTGGCTGGGTGCAGTGACTCACACCTGTAATCTGAGCATTTTGTGAGGCCGAGGCAGGTGGATCATCTGAGATCAGGAGTTCAAGACGAGCCTGGCCAACATGGTAAAACCCTGCCTCTACTAAGACAGCAAAAATTAGCCAGGTGCAGTGGTCTGCGCCTGTAGTCCAAGCTACTAGGGAGGCTGAGGTAGGAGGATCACTTGAACCCAGGAGGCAGAAGTTGCAGTGAGCTGACATTATACTACTCCACTCCAGCCTGGGGAATAGGCTAGATTGAACTGAGAGACAGAGAGAGCTACATTTGACTAGACTTCTTAATCTCTACCCAGTTAATCCTTATTGGATTTTTGGCTTTCTTAAAGAATAACTGATCGAATTAGATATTAATCCATCAAAATGAAAGATTTAGGGATAGGGTGAAAGTCCAGGACTCATTCACCGATTCCCTTCACAAACATGGACTTCCACTAATATGTGTCCTTCAAAGTCCTGAGTGTGAGACAGGGAAGGGTTGAATCTCTTCCTGATATTAGACAGAAAGAAAGAAAACTTGAAAGTATCTTTGTTGAGGGATCCTTGGCCACATCAAATTTATCAAAATATTTCAGAGTTAAAACAGTTTTCAAAGACAGAGATGACAGTCCCTAAGAAAACACAATAGAAATCTTCATGTATCCGATGATCACCTGGGTCATATAATTTTTTTTGGTGCTGAGGGAGCTGAGTCTCACTTCGTCGCCCAGGCTGGAGTGCAGTGGCACCATCTTGGCTCACTGTTACCTCCAAGATTGCCTCCAAGATTCAAGCAATTCGCATGCTTCAGCCTTCCACGTAGCTGGGACTACAGGCAGGCACCCCCCACAGCCATGTCTCCATTTGGGTGGAAGAGGATGTGATTGGTTTAAAATTAAGGTCAAAGATCCTTTTTGATTGATTTTGTTTTTGGACAGAGTGTCTCTCTTTTGCCCAGGCTGGAGTACAGCAGTGGTGTGAGCATGGCTCACTGCAGCCTGAATCTTCTGGACTCAAGTGATTCTCCCACACCAGCCACCCAAATAGCTGGGACTACAGATGCATGGTGACTCACAGCTGTAATCCCAGCACTTTGGGAGGCCAAGGCAGGTGGATCACTTGAGGTCAGGTGTTCGAGACCAACCTGGCCAGCGTGGTGAAACCCCACCTCTACTAAAAATACAAAAATTAGCCAGGCATGGTTTCAGATGTCTGTGACACCAGCTTCTGAGGATGGAGACTGAGGCATGAGAATTGCTTGAACCCAGGAGTTAAAGGTTGCAGGGAGTTGAGATCGTGCCACTGCACTCCAGTCTGGGCAACACAGTGAGACTCCATCCCCACCCTCAAAAAAAACGTTGTGTAGAGGAGGGTTTTTGTCATGTTGCCCAGGTTGGTCTCAAACCCCTGGGCTGAAATGATCCTCCCACTTTGGCCTCCCAAAGTGTTGGGGTTAAAGGCATGAGTCACTGCTCCCTTCAAGAATTTTAAAATGGCATCAACCAAAGCACAATCAACTTTTTTGAAATAAAGACAGAACTGCATTTAGAGGAAAACATTCAAAGCTTCAAATTGTTCATATATATATATAAAAAAGGACAGGATATAGCTCTCTGCCATCTTAGGCTGCACTGTCACCATCCCAGACTGACTGACTGTAGGTCAGATGGGAGTGTCCTTACAGAAATTAGTGACTTACCAGATCTGGATGTAGTTTAGAAGGTGCTCAGACCTCAGGAAGAACCAAGCAGGAACTCCAGGCTTGAAGACTTTGGGTCTCTCCTGTGGGTCTTTAGAAGCTTTTATTGACCTTTCTAATCATAACTCCCACCCACGCCCCTCCACGTATCCGCTGCTAGCTTCCAATCAAAAAATGATATCTGATTGCATTTGTGAAGCTCCACTCCACCCAGGTAATCCTGATTGGGTTTTTGGCTCTCCCCAGATTAATGGATTGAATCAGATGTCCATTCATATCACATATCTATATTCACTTCACGAAGCAAGAAATTGACAGTGTTAGGGATAGGGTAGAAGTCAAGAATACATTCATTCAAGGCCAGACGAAGTGGCTCACACCTGTAATCCCAGCACTGTGGGAGGCAGAGGCAGGTGGATTATCTGAGGTCAGGAGTTTGAGACAAGCCTGGCCAACATGGTAAAACCCTACCTCTACTAAAATTACAAAAATTAGCCAGTTGCGGTGGTCTGCGCCTATAGTCCAGGCTACTAGGGAGGCTGAGACAGGAGGATCCCTTGAACCCAGGAGGCAGAGGTTGCAGTGAGCTGACAATACACCACTGAACTCCAGCCTGGGAAATAGGCTAGATTTAAAAAAAAAAAAAAAAAAAAAGAAAAAGAAAAAAGAGAGAGAGAGAACTACATTTGATTCCACTTCTACCGAGTTAATCCTGATTGGATTTTTGGCTTTCTTCCAGATTTACTGATGCAATTAGATATTCATCCATCAAAGTGAAAGATTTAGGGATAGGGTGTAAGTCCAGGACTCATTCACTGATTCCCTTCACAAACATGGGGTTTTACTAATATGTGTCCTTCACAGTCCTGAGTGTGAGATAGGGAAGGGTTGAATCTCTTCCTGATATTAGACAGAAAGAAAAAACTTGAAAGTATCTTTGTTGAGGGATCCTCGGCCACATCAAATTTATCAAAATATTTCAGAGTTAAAACAGTTTTCAAAGACAGAGTTGACAGTCCCCAAGAACACACAATAGAAATCCTCATGTATCCAATGATCACCTGGGTGGTATAATCTAATTGTTTTTGGTGTGGGGGAAGCTGAGTCTCACTTTGTCGCCCAGGCTGGAGTGCAGCGGCGCCATCTCAGCTCACTGTAACCTCCACCTCTGAGATTCAAGCAATTCTCATGCTTCAGCCTTCCACGTAGCTGGGATTACAGGCATGCACCCCCACACCCATGTCTCCATTCGGGTGGAAGAATTACAGTGAGGACGTGATTGGTTTAAAATTAAGGTCATAGATTCTTTTTGGTTAAGATATTGTTTTTGTTTTTTGGACAGGGTCTCTCTCTTTTGCCCAGGCTGGAGTACAGCAGTGGTGTGAGCATGGCTCACTGCAGCCTCAATCTTCTGGGCTCAAGTGATTCTCCCACACCAGCCACCCAAATAGCTGGGACTACAGATGCATGTCACCATGCTCGGCTAATTAAAATAAAAAAAAGTAGAGGCCAAGCACCAGTGACTCACAGCTGTAATCCCAGCACTTTGGGAGGCCAAGGCAGGTGGATCACTTGAGGTCAGGTGTTCGAGACAAACCTGGCCAGCGTGGTGAAACCCCACCTCTACTAAAAATACAAAAATTAGCCAGGCATGGTTTCAGATGTCTGTGACACCAGCTTCTGAGGATGGAGACTGAGGCATGAGAATTGCTTGAACCCGGGAGGTAAAGGTTGCAGTGAGTTGAGATCGTGCCACTGCACTCCAGTCTGGGCAACACAGTGAGACTCCATCCCCACCCTCAAAAAAAAAACGTTGTGTAGAGGAGGGTTTTTGTCATGTTGCCCAGGTTGGTCTCAAACCCCTGGGCTGAAATGATCCTCCCACTTTGGCCTCCCAAAGTGTTGGGGTTAAAGGCATAAGTCACGGCTCCCTTCAAGAATTTTGAAATGACCTAAACCAAAGCACAATCAACTTTTTTGAAATAAAGACAGAACTGCATTTAGAGGAAAAAATTCAAAGCCTCCAATTGTTCATATGAAAAAAAAAAAGGACAGGATATAGCTCTGTGCCATCGTAGGCTGCACTGTCACCATCCCAGACTGACTGACTCTAGGTCAGATGGGAGTGTCCTTAGAGAAATTAGTGACTTACCAGATCTGGATGTAGTTTAGAAGGTGCTCAGACCTCAGGAAGAACCAGGCAGGAACTCCAGGCTTGAAGACTTTGGGTCTCTCCTGTGGGTCTTTAGAAGCTTTTATTGACCTTTCTAATCACAACTCCCACCCACGCCCTTCCACGGGTGCACTGCTAGCTTCCAATCAAAAAGCCATATCTGATTGCATTTCTGAAGCTCCACCCAGTTAATCCTGATTGGGTTTTTGGCTCTCCCCAGATTAATGGATTGAGTCAGATATCCATTCATATCACATATCTATATTCAGTTCGTGAAGCAAGAAATTGACAGTGTTAGGGATAGGGTAGAAGTCAAGAATACATTCATTCACTGGTGGGCAAGGTGGCTCATACCTGTAATTCCAGCACTTTGGAAGGACAAGGTGAGTAGATCACCTGATGTCAGGGGTTCAAGACCAGTCAGGTCAAAAAGGTGAAACCCCGTCTCCACAAAAATACAAAAATACAAAAATTAGCCCGGCATGATGGCAGGTGCCTGAAACACAGCGACTCAGGAGGCTGAGGCAGGAGAATTGCTTGAACCCAGGAGGCAATGGTTGCAGTGAGCCAGAATTGTGCCACTGCACTCCAGTCTGGGTGACGGAGGGAGATTCTGTCAAAAAATAAAAAAATCATTCATTCATGAACTCCACAAACACTGATTTTTTTTTTATTAATATGTGAACTTCATAGTCTTGAGTGTGAGACAGGGACGGATTTGATCTGTTTACGACATTAGACAGAAAAATAAAATCTGAAAGTAGTGTTGTTAGGAGATCTTTGGCCACATCAAAATATAAAAATGCTTTCTACTTTAAAAAGCTTTATAAAAACAGAGGAGTCGTCCCTACGAAATCAGAATAAAAATCTCAATATACTGAATGGTCTTTGGGATTTTGTATAACCTAAGGTAGCAGATTACATGCTCGTTCTGGTGGAGGAGAGGTGCCACTGAGGGCGTGAGTGGTCTCAGGGCTTAGGTTAAGGCTTCTTTGGAAGAAATTGAAACCACATCTCTAAAATTTATAAATTTAATCAGTGAAGAAGGGAGGGAGAGAAACAAAAATAAACCAAGCTTGGAACACATTCAGCATTCATCAGGAGGTCTTCTTGCTCTCTGACCTGGTTCCTCATGGTTGCCGCAACCTACTGTTCCAAAATCATATAGACCTTAGATTACAGTTCCCCTTAACTTCCCTGCAGACAACCATTTAAGCATTGTAAAACATTAACTTTTTCATCTGAGATATTCTTTCAGGTTCTGCATGTCAGTGAAACTGCTGATGCCAGCTGATCTGAAGGGCCATGCAATGCACCAACTCACCAAATAATGCAGTTTCTACATCCTGTTGACTTCTTCCCTCTTACCGCTACCCCAACTTTCCGGCCCCTTGCTATCCAGGATCCACTGGAAACCTTCAGTACTCCTTGGGGAGATGAATTTGAGGATCTCCTCCTAGCTTCTCATTCAGCCACCTTGTGATCATTAAACTCTCTGCTGCAAACCCTGCTGTCTCAGAATATTGCTAAACTACTGTGCAGCAGGCATAGGAACCTGATGGTCCTTTAATAAAGTCATGTCAAAATTACAAATGGAAGTGAGGGTGGAGCTGGTCAGGGTTGAGCTGGGTTTTTAATGGGAACCTGGGAGTGAAGCAAGACTTGCAGGTCACATTGGGCAGGCTTCCAAATTCACCACCTATGGAAGGTCTTTCGCTTGGCTTACATCCTGTCTCTGAGTAAAGAGTCTGATCGTGAGTTCATGAGTGCTTCAAACTCTACAAGTATTGATGAAGGCTTCCACCCACTGACAGTGAGAAGGCACTGATTTGATGGTGATCATGAAGTTCTGCTGGTTGTCTTGCAAGGAATATGTTTTATTCTTTTATCTTGTCATCTAAAGCCAATGATTGTAACCTCTGTTTGTCCCTTCCAATGGAAAAAACAAAAACAAAAAGTCAACTCTATTTGAGCCTTGTCAGGTCTATAAAACAAAAGAAAATTTAAAAAAATAATTGATAGGAGGAGTCCCTTTCCCAGCCCGGGCAATAGAGTGAGACTCCATCTCAAAAGGAAAAAAAAAAAAAAGGCCGGGCACGGTGGTGGCTCACACCTCTAATCCCAGCACTTCAGGAGGCCAAGGCAGGTAGATCACGATGCCAAAAAATTGAGACCATCCTAGCCAACATGGTGAAACCCTGTCTCTGCTAAAAATACAAAAATTAGCTGAGCATGGTGGCGCCCACCCATAGTCCTAGCTACTCGAGAGACTGAGGCATGAGAGTCGCTTGAACTCAGGAGGAGGAGGTTGCAGTCAGCCAAGATTTCACCACTGCACTCCAACTTGGTGACAGAGCGAGACTCCGTCTCAAAACAAACAAACACAAACGAACAAACAAACAAAGAAAAAAGCTGGAAAAATAAATTCTGAAAGAATTTCCATCTCTATGAATTCATCTTCAGAAGTGATAGCATTTCCTGCTTGGCATTTTTTGCCTACATTTTTGGCATAAGATCTATCAACAAAAAGTATGAACCCAGGTTTGTGTAATGGAATATCTTAAACGTCAATAGGAGGAGTCAATAGTTCTGATGCCACACACACACACGTATGGTCTTCTCCATCATCAGAAAATGGCAACAAAGTGGTAGAGTTATGCAGAGTGTAGCATTTGAAATGGAGATTTGAAGGTGACAAGGAAAGGATTTTGTAAGACATTAGTGTACAAGTTGAGCAATGTTGGTTCCTGTCACAATATTTTTATTGATTTATTTATTTTATTCATTTATTTTTTGAGATGGAGTCTCGCTCCGTCACCAGGCTGGAATGCAGTGGCACGATCTCAGCTCACTTCGACCTCTGCCTCCCCGGTTCAAGCAATTTTCCTGCCTTAGCCTCCTAAATAGCCGGGACTACAGGTGCATGCCACTACACCTGGCTAATTTTTTGTATTTTTAGTAAAGACGGGGTTTCACCATGTTAACTAGGATGGTCTCAATCTCCTGACTTCGTGGTCTGCCCGCCTCGGCCTCCCAAAGTGCTGGGATTACAGGCCTCAGCCACCATGCCTGGTCGGTTCACATCAAAATTTAAGAGGTATTCAATTGCATATGAAATTTGTAGGCAAAGTTTATTTCTTTTTTCTTTAAAGCATTAATTAATTTATTTATTTATAATGTATTTATTTATTAATTTTTTTTTGAGATGGAGTTTCACTCTTGCTTTCCAGGCTGGAGTGCAATGGTGCGATCTCGCCTCACTGCAACCTCTGCCTCCCGGTTCAAGTGATTCTCCTGCCTCAGTCTCCCAGTTAGCTGGAATTACAGGCACAGGCCACCACACACAACTAGTTTTTGTATTTTTAGTAGAGACAGAGTTTCACCATGTTGCCCAGGCTGGTCTGGAACTCCTGACCACAGGTGATGCACCCACCTCGGCCTCTGAAAGTGCTGAGATTACAGGCGTGAACCACCGTGCCCGGCCTAAACTCATCACTTTTAATACTTTCTACATCACATGAGGAAGAAGAGCAGAAACACTTGAGTACTTCATGAAGGTCAAGGTTGGTATGAGTTTGGGTTCTAATATGATCAATTTCTGCTTCTAGGGAACCAAGCAGTTCAGGTTAAGGAAGGTCAGGAAGCTATTTTAACTATAAAGCATTTTTAAAATATTGATGTGGCCAAAGATCTCCCAACAACACTATTCTCAGGTTTTATTTTTCTGTCTAATGTCCAGAACAGATCAACCCCTTCCCTGCCTCACACCCAGGGCTATGAAGGTGACATATCAGTAAAATTCCATCAGTGCTTGTGGAGTTCGTGAATGAAGGCATTCTGTTGTTGTTGTTGTTGTTGTTGTTGTTGTTGACAGAGTCTCCCTCTGTCACCCAGTCTGGAGGGCAGTGTGCAATCTCGGTTCACTGCAACCTCAGCCTCCTGGGTTCAAGCAATTCTCCCACCTCAGCCTCCCAAGTATCCGGATTACAGGCAGCCGCCATCATGCCCGGCTAATTTTGTATTTTTGTAGAGACAGGGTTTCACCATATTGGTCAAGCTTGTCTTGAACTCCTGACCTCAGGTGATCCGCCTGTCTTGGCCTCCCAAAGTGCTGGGATTACAGGCATGAGCCAACTCAGCTGGCCTTAAATGAATGAATTCTTGATTTCCACTCTATCCCTAATGCTGTCAATTTCTTGATTCATGAAATGAATATGGGTATGTGATATGAATGGATATTTGGTTCAATCCATTAATCTGGGGAAAGCCAAAAACCCAATCAGGATTAGCTGGGTGGAACTTCAGAAATGCAATGAGATATTGCTTTTTGATTGGAAGCTAGCAGTGCATACGTGGAAGGGCGTGGGTGGGAGTTGTGATTAGAAAGGTCAATAAAAGCTTCTAAAGACCCACAGGAGAGACCCAAAGTCTTCAAGCCTGGAGTTCCTGCTTGGTTCTTCCTGAGGTCTGAACACCCTGCAAACTGAGCCCAGATCTGGTAAGTCACTAATTTCTGTAAGGACACTCCCATGGGACCTACAGTCAGCCGATGTAGCATGGTGACAGTGCAGCCTACGACAGAGCAGAGCTATATCCTGTCTTTTTTTTCTTTTTTTCATATGAACACTTTGAAGCTTTGATTTTTTTTTCTAAATGCAGTTTTGTCTTTATTTCAAAAATGTTGATTGTGCTTTTCTTTACGTCATTTCAGAATTCTTGTTGGGAGCCATTTTGTGAAGAGACGAAGACTGAGCTGGTTTGGCTGCATTTCTGGCCTCGAGCCGCAGTCAGCTTCTCCACGTAGAACCCGGCAGTAGGAGACTTAGAATCGAATCTCTTCTCCCTCCCGCCTCCTGTTTTTGGCTTTTTGAGAAACCTTATCATCCAACACAATGGCCAGCAACGTTACCAACAAGATGGATCCTCACTCCATGAACTCCCGTGTGTTCATTGGGAATCTCAACACTCTTGTTGTCAAGAAATCGGATGTGGAGGCGATCTTTTCCAAGTATGGCAAAATTGCGGGCTGCTCTGTTCATAAGGGCTTTGCCTTCGTTCAATATGATAAGGAGAAAAATGCCCGGGCTGCTGTAGCAGGAGAGGATGGCAGAATGATTGCTAGCCAGGTTGTAGATATTAACCTGGCTGCAGAGCCAAAAGTGAACCGAGGAAACGCAGGTGTGAAACGATCAGCAGCAGAGATGTACGGCTCCTCTTTTGACTTGGACTATAACCTGCAACGGGATTATTATGGTGGGATGTACAGTTTCCCAGCACGTGTACCTCCTCCTCCTCCCATTGCTCTGGCTGTAGTGCCCTCGAAACGCCAGCGCATATCAGGAAACACCTCACGAAGGGGCAAAAGTGGCTTCAATTCTAAGAGTGGAAAGCGGGGATCTTCCAAGTCTGGAAAGCTGAAAGGAGATGACCTTCAGGCCATTAAGCAGGAGTTGACCCAGATAAAACAGAAAGTGGATTCTCTCCTGGAAAACCTGGAAAAAATTGAAAAGGAACATTGCAAGCAAGGAGTAGAGGTAAAGAATGCTAAGTCTGAAGAGGAGCAGACCAGCAGCTCCTCGAAGAAGGATAAGACTCACGTGAAGATGGAGTCTGAGGGGGGTGCAGATGACTCTGTTGAGGAGGGGGACCTACTGTGTGATGATGATAATGAAGATCAGGGGGACAACCAGCTGGAGTTGATCAAGGATGATGAAAAAGGGGCTGAGGAAGGAGAGGATGACAGAGACAGGGCGAATGGCCAGGATGACTCTTAAGCACATAGTGGGGTTGAGAAATCTTATCCCATTGTTTCTTTACCTAGGTGCTTGTCTAACATCAAATTTTTCACCAGATCCTCTCCCTTAGCATCTTCAGCACATGCTTACTGTTCTCCCCATCCTTGTCCTTCCCACATTCATTAATTCATATTGCCCTGCACCTAGTTCCATTTTCACTTCCCTTGATGCTCCTAGAAGTTTTCTTAAGTCTTACCCTGCAATTTTTGCTTTTAATTTAGATACCTCCTTATGACTTAACAGTAAAAAGGATGTATGGTTTTTATCAACTGTCTCCAAAATAATCTCTTGTTATGCAGGGAATACAGTTCTTTTCATTTATACATAAGTTCAATAGTTGCTTCCCTAACTGCAAAGGCAATCTCATTGAGTTGAGTAGCTCCTGAAAGCAGCTTGGAGTTAGAAGTATGTGTGTTACACCCCATGTCAGTGTGCTGTGTGGGGCAGTTCAACAAAAATCTAACAATGTATTTTTGTGAATGAGAGTTGGCATGTCAAATGCATCCTCAGAAAAATAATTAGTGTTATACTCTTAAAATGTGTTTTCTAAAGTTGATACTGTGGGTTATTTTTGTGAACAGCTCCATGTTTGGGACCTTTTTTCCTCAAAATAAACAAGTCCTTATTAAACCAGGAATTTAAAGAAAAAAATTCTTGGTGGGAGCAGTGACTCATGCCTACAATTCCAACACTTTGGGAGGCCAAGGCAGGAGGATCATTTGAGCCCAGGGGCTCGAGACCAACCTGGGCAACATGGCAAAACCCTATCTCTACAAAACATTTGTTTTGAGGGGTGGGGATGGTATCTGGCTCTGTTACCCAGGCTGGAGTGCAGTGGCATGATCTCAACTCACTCCAACCTCTGCCTCCCAGGCTCAAGCGATTCTCATGCCTCAGCCTCCTGAGTAGCTGCGATTATAGCCACCCGCCACCATGCCTGGCTAATTTTTATATTTTTGGTAGAAACAGGGTTTCACCATGTTGGCCAGGCTGGTCTTGAACTCCTAACCTCAAGTGATCCACCTGCCTTGGCCTCCCAATGTGCTGGGATTACACCAGTGAGCCACCAACGCCCTGCTTCTTTTTTAAAAAATTAGCCGGGCATGGTGGCATGGATCTGTAGTCCCAGCTACTTGGGTGGCTGAGGTGGGAGAATCCCTTGAGCTCAGAAGATTGAGGCTGCAGTGAGCCATGTTCACACCACTGCTGTACTCCAGCCTGGGCAACAGAGTGAGACCTTGTCAAAAAAAAAAATCTTAACCAAACAGTTTTTTAAGAAAACCAATTAATTGTAATCAGTAGGCAGATCCCAAATTCCCCAAAAAAAGAAGAGAAAGAGAGTTTAGAAGGCTCTACGTGCTAGCATCCCATTCAGACTGTTTAATCCTACAATTGTGGTTTTGTAAGAAAAACAGTCTTAAAGATTTCCAATAATTCCCACAATGGCCATAAATTATCCTGGGTGTCATTTTCCCATCAATTTAAAAAGGCACATGAGAGGCCGAGTGCAGTGGCTCAGGCCTGTATTCCCAGCACTTTGGGAGGCTGAGGCGGGTGGATCAGCTGAGGTCAGGAGTTCAAGACAAGCCTGGCCAACATGGAGAAACTCCATTCCTACTAAAAATACAAAAAAGAGCCAGGCGTGGTGGCGGGCACCTGTAATCCCAGGTACTCAGGAGGCCGAGGCAGGAGAGGCACTTGAACCCAAGAGGTAGAGGTTGCAGTGAGCCGAGATCATGCCATTGCACTCCAGCCTGGCCACAGAGCCAGACACTATCTCCAAAAATAATAATAATTATTATAACAGCATGTCTATTCTCTCCAAAGTGTCTGGGACTGGACAATTAATTGTGAGGTCCTCTTCTGTAGCACCATACGCTATAACATATATGTGGATTTAAATAAATACACATACAAAATGCAAGTATATAGTCTATATGCTTTCCATATACTTATGTTCCATGAGGTCACAAGCAAATTCAAGGCTAGGTCAAAGAGTAGAGTGGCTGTCTATGGAAAGGAGAGTGGAAGTGAATCATGGTAATAAATGGAAATAGATACAGATATGAATAGGTAGACATACACACATATAGCTGCAAGAAACGGGGTTGTCGTGGACCAATGATGTCAGTGAGCCATGTAAAAAGGCTACAATTCTTGTGATTGTGTGTCCGTTTTCAGGATGGGTTGTAGATTACCTTTTTAGAAAGGCTGATGCCACAGTCATAGTCAAAAAAAATGATTATAAAATTTGCTTCCTTTCTGGAGCATCTCTGGAGAAATCTCCAATGGGAGGAGAACTCAGTTACTGGGCAGGTTATCACACAGGTAAGATTTTACTGATCCAATGGCACTAATATTAACTTCATTATCCTTCGTATTCTACAAAGGTTGAGTGAACAAACTGTATCTTGAAACTAAAATTAGCTGAACCAATAAAGGAGACTGCATTCTTTTTATTTTTTGTTTAGAGACAGAGTCTCTGTTGCCCAGGCTGGAGTACAATGGTGCTACCTTGGCTCACTGCAACTTCTGCATCCTGGGTTCAAGTGGTTCTCCTGCCTCAGCCTCCTGAGTAGCTGGGATTACAGGCACATGTCACCACACTGAGCTAACTTTTGTATTTTTAGCAGAAAGGGGGTTTCTCCATGTTGGCCAGGTTGGTCTCAAACCTCTGACCTTGGGATCTGCCTGCCTCAGCCTCCTAAAGTGCTGGGATTATAGGCGTGAGCCACCATGCCTGGTTGAATCTTTTTTACTTTTCTCAAGCATGGTGTCATAGTATTGGGTTCTATGCACTTAGAAGAGTGAGCCCATCGTTCAGTAACAATATGAATCAATACTGCAAGACCTTGATGCAGTATTTGAAAGACTATTTCCACTAGGTGAAGGAGGCTTTCAGTGATGCTTAGACCTTCATGCCCTAGCATTTGGAGATTGCATCCTTTAGAAATGACACCAAGGGAAATCTGCCCATGAACAGCATTGGATGGGACTGTACCAGATGACTTAAACTTAAGGATATCTGAGGAAAAGCCTTCCCTAGAAGCACACATCATCACCTGGTAGACAGCTTTTCCAAGACAATGGAACAAGACTCCATTTGATCTTCTTCCATTGACTGAGACTTGGTTTTGTTTTGTATTAACACAAAATTATCAAACCTATATTTTATGTTGTTAGGTACTTTCACCACTCAAACCAAACACTTTCTAAGATCTTCTGTTCAAAATGTAGCCACTCTCACTAACCAAAGCAATTGCTGGCTATGGAGTCATTTAGATGAAAGGGAAGGATCACACTTAATACTACAACCTGCTTTCGTACACAGTTGGGTAGCAATTGAGGATGCTAAATTCATGATAAGATTTGTTATCCTTCCTTTGGTAGGTTGGTTAATATTGATAATTAAATGACTTGGCATTGAGAAGAAGCTATAGGTGCAAATGAGTGGTCTATGACTATTATTGATTTCATTACTGGTAACTTATCTCTATGCATAGAAAACATTAGTGTAACTGGGTCTAATCTAGATGGTGTGCCAGACTCACACTAGAATAAACTCTGGTTTGATGCATATTATGAAGGCTGGAACGCTATAGTTATCGACATAGACACAGAATCAGAACATGACCATGTTACCCTCTGCCATATAATCAGAGAAACTTACTGAAACTAGATATTGGTTCATTGGAGATTCTAGAGGGAAATAGAATGCATCTATAGCTCTAGTATATGAAATAAATATTAGTTTTGTTTATTGGGTGCATCAATACTCAGGACATATTTGGAGAGGAACCTACTCATTCTTCTATGGAGATGACATGCAAGGATTACTTTATAAAAGACATAGAAATATTTTTTCTTCCCACCCCAATTCAAACCATTACCATACAACCTTGTGTCAATAGAAGATAAGGCTGTTGAGGTAGAAATAATTAACGAAAGCTTCACTGGAAGCTAAATGTGAGGATTGACCTGGAAGACACACACTGACAAAGTGGGTGTTTTCCAAAGTCTGTTACAAGTTGGAATGCTTTTGTAAGAAAGGTTAAAAGAAGGGAATGGGACTCCTCCTATCAGTTTGTTTTTAAATTTTCTTTTGTCTTATTGACCTGGCAAGGCTCAAATAGAATTGAGTTTTTGTTTTTGTTTTTTTCCATTGGACGGGACAAGACAGAGGTTACAATCATTGGCTTTAGATGACAACATAACAGGATAAAACGTATTCCTTGCAAGACAACCAGCAAAACTTCATGATCAGAATCAAATCAGCGTCCTTCTCACTGTCAGTGGGTGAAGCCTTCATCAGTAGTTGTGGGGTTTGAGGCACTCATGAACTCATGATCAGACACTTTGCTCAGGGACAGGATGTAAGCCAATCGAAAGACCTTCCCACAGGTGGTTAATTTGGAAGCCTGCCCAATGTGCCCTGCAAGTTTTCACTGGCAATATGCAGGTGCAGATATGACAAGGAATAACCATGGCCTTTACATCACCCCCAGCTGTTGAGGAATGGGATCCTTTTGACCCTTTCTGTCCATAGAACCAGGTTACTCATCTTGTGTGGCAACAAAATATATGGTCTACTTAACAGAGAAGAGGACTCTGTAAAAAAAAAAAAAAAAATGTATTATGAAGTAAGCAAAGAAATGGGAATAGATGTGAGATTATTCGGGGAGATAAAGGAAGTTGAAGGTTTTGAAAGGAAATATAAGGAGGATTATATAAATTGTTTTGAAAGACTCATACTTGGTCATAAGGATCAAAACCAAAGGGGCATCCATGCAATGTTGGATAGATTCATCCTCCACCCACTCAATAACCCCCAACATGTTCAGCAAGTCTTGGTTCACTCCCAGGTTCCCATTAAAAACCCAGCTCAACCCTGACCAGCTCCACCCTCACTTCCATTTGTAATTTTGACATGACTTTATTACAGGACCATCAGGTTCCTATGCCTGCTGCACAGTAGCTTAGCAATATTGTGAGACAGCAGGGTTTGCAGCAGAGAGTTTAATGATCACAGGGTGGCTGAATGAGAAGTTAGGAGGAGATCCTCAAATTCATCACCCCAAGGAGTACTGAGCATTTCCAGTGGATCCTGGATAGCAAGGGACTGGAAAGTTGGGGTAGCGGTAAGAGGGAAGAAGTCAACAGGATCTAGAAACTGCATTCTTTGCGTTAGTGCCTTGCAGGGCCCATTTAGATGAGCTGGCATCAGTAGTTTCACTGACATGCAGAATCTGAAAGAATATGTCAAATGAAAAAAGTTAATGTTTCACAATGCTTAAATTGTTGTCTGCAGGGAAGTTAAGGGGAACTGTAATCTAAGGTCTATATGATTTTGGAACAGTAGGCTGCCAGCAACCATAAGGAACCAGGTCAGAGAGCAAGCTGACCTCCTGATGAATGCTGAATGTGTTGCAAGCTTGGTTTATTTTTGTTTCTCCCCCTCCCTTCTTCACTGATTAAATTGATGAAGTTTATAGTTGTGGTTTCAATTTCTTCCAAAGAAGCCTTAACCTAAGCCCTGAGACCACTCACGCCCTCAGTGGCACCTCTCCTCCACCAGAACGAGCATATAATCTGCTACCTTAGGTTATATAAAATCCCCAAGACCATTCGATAAATTGAGATTTTTATTCTGATTTTGTAGGGATGACTCCTCTGTTTTTATAAAGCTTTTTAAAGTATAAAGCATTTTCATATTTTGATGTGGCCAAAGATCTCCTAACAACACTACTTTCAGATTTTATTTTTCTGTCTAATGTCGGGAACAGATCAAATCCTTCCCTGCCTCACACTCAAGACTATGAAGTTCACATATTAGTAAAGTTCCATCAGTGTTTGTGGAGTTCATGAATGAATTAATTTTTTTATTTTTTGACAGAATGTCCCTCTGTCACCCAGACTGGAGTGCAGTGGCACAATTTTGGCTCACTGCAACCATTGCCTCCTGGGTTCAAGCAATTCTCCTGCCTCAGCCTCCTGAGTCGCTGTGTTTCAGGCACCTGCCATCATGCCGGGCTAATTTTTGTATTTTTGTATTTTTGTAGAGACAGGGTTTCACCTTTTTGTCCTGGCTGGTCTTGAACCCCTGACATCAGGTGATCTACTCACCTTGTCCTTCCAAAGTGCTGGGATTACAGGTATGAGCCACCTCACCTGGCCTTGAATGAATGTATTCTTGACTTCTACCCTATCCCTAACACTGACAATTTCTTGCTTCATGAAGTGAATATAGATATGTGATATGAATGGACATCTGATGCAATCCATTAATCTGGGGAGAGCCAAAAACCCAATCAGGATTAACTGGCTGGAGCTTCAGAAATGCAATCAGATATCACTTTTTGATTGGAAGCTAGCAGCGGATACGTGGAGGGGCGTGGGTGGGAGTTGTGATTAGAAAGGTCAATAAAAGCTTCTAAAGACCCACAGGAGAGACCCAAAGTCTTCAAGTCTGGAGTACCTGCCTGGTTCTTCCTGAGGTCTGAGCACCTTCTAGACTACATCCAGATCTGGTAAGTCACTAATTTCTGTAAGGACACTCCCATCTGACCTACAGTCAGCTGGTCTGGGATGTTGACAGTGCAGCCTACGATGGCACAGAAGTGTATCCTGTCTTTTTTTTTTTTATATGAACAATTTAAAGCTTGAATGTTTTCCTCTAAATACAGCTCTGTCTTTATTTCAAAAAAGTTGATCGTTCTTTGGTTGATGTCGTTTCAAAATTCTTGAAGGGAGCAGTGACTCATGCCTTTAACCCCAACACTTTGGGAGGCCAAAGTGGGAGGATCATTTCAGCCCAGGGGTTTGAGACCAACCTGGGCAACATGACAGAAACCCTCCTCTACACAACGTTATTTTTTTTGTGAGGACGGGGATGGAGTCTCACTGTGTTGCCCAGACTGGAGTGCAGTGGCACGATCTCAACTCACTGCAACCTTTACCTTCCAGGTTCAAGCAATTCTCATGCCTCAGTCTCCATCCTCAGAAGCTGGTGTCAGCCATCTGCCACCATGCCTGGCTAATTTTTGCATTTTTAGTAGAGCGGGTGTTTCACCATGCTGGCCAGGTTGGTCTCCAACACCTGACCTCAAGTGATCCACCTGCCTTGGCCTCCCAAACTGCTGGGATTAGAGCCGTGAGCCACTGGTGCTCGGCCTCTACTTTTTTTTTTTTTAATTAGCCGGGCATGGTGGCATGCATCTGTAGTCCCAGCTATTTGGGTGACTGGTGTGGGAGAATCACTTTAGCCCAGAAGATTGAGGCTGCAGTGAGCCATGCTCACACCACTGCTGTACTCCAGCCTGGGCAAAAGAGAGAGACCCTGTCCAAAAAACAAAAACAAAATCTTAACAAAAAAGGATCTTCGACCTTAATTTTAAACCAATCACATCCTCTCGGTAATTCTTCCACCTGAATGGAGACATGGGTGTGGGGTGCATGCCTGTAATCCCAGCTACGTGGAAGCCTGAAGCATGAGAATTGCTTGAATCTCAGAGGCGGAGGTTACAATGAGCTGAGATGGCGCCGCTGCACTCCAGCATGGGGCAAAAAGTTAGACTCAGCTTCCCCCACACCAAAAAAATTAGATTATACCACCCAGGTGATCACTGGATACATGAAGATTTCTATTGTGTTTTCTTGGGGACTGTCATCTCTGTCTTTGTAAAACGTTTTAACTCTGAAATATTTCGATAAATTTGATGTGGCCAAGGATCCCTCAACAAAGGTACTTTCAAGTTTTTTCTTTTCTCTAATGTCAGGAAGAGATTCAACCCTTCCCTCTCTCACACTCAGGACTTTGAAGGACACATATTAGTAAAACTCCATGTTTATGGAGTGAATCACTGAATGAGTCCTGGACTTTCACCCTATCCCTAATTCTTTCACTTCGATGGATGAATATCTAACTCAATCAGTAAATCTGGAAGAAAGCAAAAAATCCAATCAGGATTAACTGGGTAGAGTTTAAGAAGTCAAATCAAATGTACAAATGTAGTTCTCTCTCTCTCTTTTTTCTTTTTTTTTTTTTTTTTTTTTTGAATCTTGCCTATTTCCCAGGCTGGAGTGCAGTGGTGTATTGTCAATTCACTGCAACCTCTGCCTCCTGGGTTCAAGCGATCCTCCTGCCTCAACCTCCCTGGTAGCTTGGACTATAGGCACAGACCACCGCACCTGGCTAATTTTTGTAATTTTGGTAGAGGTAGGGTTTTACCATGTCGGCCAGGCTTTTCTCAAACTCCTGACCTCAGATAATCCACCTGCCTCTGCCTCCCAAAGTGCTGGGATTACAGGAGTGAGCCACCTCACCTGGCCTTGAATGAATGTATTCTTGACTTCTACCCTATCCCTAACACTGTCAATTTCTTGCTTCGTGAAGTGAATATAGATATGTGATATGAATGGACATCTGATTCAATCCATTAATCTGGGGAGAGCCAAAAACCCAATCAGGATTAACTGGCTGGAGCTTCAGAAATGCAATCAGATATCACTTTTTGATTGGAAGCTAGCAGCGGATACGTGGAGGGGCGTGGGTGGGAGTTGTGACTAGAAACGTCAATAAAAGCTTCTAAAGACCCACAGGAGAGACCCAAAGTCTTCAAGCCTGGAGTTCCTGCCTGGTTCTTCCTGAGGTCTGAGCACCTTCTAAACTACATCCAGATCTGGTAAGTCATTAATTTCTGTAAGGACACTCCCATCTGACCTACAGTCAGCTGGTCTGGGATGGTGACAGTGCAGCCTACGATGGCACAGAGCTATATCCTGTCCTTTTTTTTTTCATATGAACAATTTGAAGCTTTGAATGTTTTCCTCTAAATAGAGTTCTGTCTTTATTTCAAAAAAGTTGATTGTGCTTTGGTTTAGGTCATTTCAAAATTCTTGAAGGGAGCAGTGACTCATGCCTTTAACCCCAACACTTTGGGAGGCCAAAGTGGGAGGATCATTTCAGCCCAGGGGTTTGATACCAACCTGGGCAACATGACAAAAACCCTCCTCTACACAACGTTTTTTTTTTTTTGAGGATGGGGATGGAGTCTCGCTGTGTTGCCCAGACTGGAGTGCAGTGGCACGATCTCAACTCACTGTAACCTTTACCTCCCAGGTTCAAGCAATTCTCATGCATCAGTCTCCATACAGAGAAGCTGGTATAACAGTCATCTGAAACCATGCCTGGCTAATTTTTGTATTTTTAGTAGGGGCGGGGGTTTCACCATGCTGGCCAGTTTGGTCTCAAACGCCTGACCTCAAGTGATCCACCTGCCTTGGCCTCCCAAAATGCTGGGATTAGAGCCATGAGCCACTGGTGCTTGGCCTCTACTTTTTTTTTTTTTTTAATTAGCTGGGCATGGTGGCATGCATCTGTAGCCCCAGCTATTTGGGTGGCTGGTGTGGGAGAATCACTTTAGCCCAGAAGATTGAGGATGCAGTGAGCCATGCTCACACCACTGCTGTACTCCAGCCTGGGCAAAAGAGAGAGACCCTGTCCAAAAAACAAAAGCAACATCTTAACAAAAAAGGATCTTTGACCTTAATTTTAAAGCAATCACATCCTCTTCCACCCAAATGGAGACATGAGTGTGGGGGTGCATGCCTGTAATCCCAGCTACGTGGAAGACTGAAGCATGAGAATTGCTTGAATCTTGGAGGCTGAGGTAACAGTGAGCCGAGATGGCACCACTGCACTCCAGCCTGGGCAACGAAGTGAGACTCAGCTCCCTCAACACCAAGAAGAATTATGCCACCCAGGTAATCACTGGATATATGAAGATTACTATTGTGTTTTCTTAGGAACTGTCATCTCTGTCTTTGTAAAACTGTTTTAACTCTGAAATATTTTGAGAAATTTGATGTGGCCAAGGATCCCTCTACAGATACTTTCAAGTTTTCTTTCTTTCTGTCTAATATCAGGAAGAGATTCAACCCTTCCCTGTCTCACACTCAGGACTGTGAAGGACACATATTAGTAAAACTCCACGTTTGTGGAGTGAATCAGTGAATGAGTCTTGGACTTTCACCCTATCCCTAAATCTTTCATTTTGATGGATGAATATCTAATTCAATCAGTTAATCTGGAAGAAAGCCAAAAATCCAATCAGGATTAACTGGGTAGAGATTAAGAAGTCTAATCAAATGTAGCTCTCTCTGTCTCTCTTTTGAATCTAGCCTATTTCCCAGGCTGGAGTGGAGTGGTATAATGTCAGCTCACCGCAACTTCTGCCTCCTGGGTTCAAGTGATCCTCCTGCCTCAGCCTCCCTAGTAGCTTGGACTACAGGCGCAGACCACTGCACCTGGCTAATTTTTGCTGGCTTAGTAGAGGTAGGGTTTTACCATGTTGGCCAGGCTCGTCTTGAACTCCTGATCTCAGATGATCCACCTGCCTTGGCCTCACAAAATGCTCAGATTACGGGTGAGTCACTGCACCCAGCCAAAGTGGTTGATTTTGAATATGTGCGAGAGGTGTGTATTGGAATCATCTATCTTGCGAATGATGCATAACAGTGTCACATAGCTTTCAAAGCTTCTCACTGAAATATTCGATAATAAGGCTGGAGTGGAGGCTCACAACTATAATCCCGGTACTTTGGGAGGCCAAGGGGGGTGGATTGCTTGAGACTAGGAGTTCAAGACCAGCTTGGACAACATAGTGAAATCCACTGTCTTTACAAAAAGTCAAAACATAAAAGATGAGCTGGGTGTGGTGATGCATAACTGTGGTCCCAGCTACTTGGGAGGCTGAGGAGGCTTGGGAGGCTGGGAAGTCAAGGCTGCAGTGAGCCAAGATCCCACCACTGCACTCCAGGCTGGGTAACAGAGCAAGACCCTGTCAGAAAGAGTGAGGGAGAGAGGGAGGGAGAGAGAGAATGAGAGAAGGGATGCAGGGAAAGAAGACAAGAAAGAAAGAAGGGAGAGAGAGGGGGGAAGAAAGAAAGAAGGGAGGGAGAGAGGGAAAGAAGGAAAGAAGAGAGAGAAAGAGAAGGAAACCTTAAATAAAGAAAAGAAAACAAATAGAACCTGTTCTAGGGATGCCCCATGAATGTTCCCAACAAGCTTATTTGTAGGAACTGAAATTGTGGGCATGTAGGCTTGTGACACTCCCTTTCCCATTGTTTTAGAACCTTGAGTAATTAGTAATTTCCCCCAATGGTCGGAGGGGTTTGCTTTCAGGTTCCTCCACACTCACTAGTCACTGGATGGAGCACTGGATAGAAAGGAAGGGCTAGTTGTGGCCCTGCCTCCTCACTGCTTCGGAGACGCTCATGCTGATGCAGCAGAGGCAGAATGCTGGCTTAATGGCCACTGAGTACTGAGTAGAATTGGAGTAAACTGAGGGCTGTTTCACCATTGCCAAAGCAGTGACTTTGGCCCTGGGAGAAGATGAGATTGCATGGGCTTGTCCTGAGAGTGATGCCTTTTCTCTGGGTTTGTCCTCTGGAAGTTTTCCCTGCAGATTCATGAAGATGAGCATCCGGACTCCACCCAGACTCCTGGAGCTGGCGGGGCGGAGCGTGCTGAGGGACCAAGCCTTGGCCATGTCCACCCTGGAGGAGCTGCCCACAGAACTTTTCCCCCCACTGTTCATGGAGGCCTTCAGCAGGAGACGCTGTGAGGCCCTGAAGCTGATGGTACAGGCCTGGCCCTTCCGCCGCCTCCCTCTGAGGCCTCTGATAAAGATGCCTTGTCTGGAGACCTTCCAAGCTGTGCTCAATGGGCTTGATGCACTGCTTACCCACGGGGTTCGTCCCAGGTGAGGTGGGCCAGGTGGGCTGGTGGGGAGGGCCCAGGTGTCCAACCGAAGGAACAGCTGGGTCATGAGAAGTGAGGAGGCCCAAGGGGCGATGGTGGTGGTGAGGAAGCTGAGAGGCCTTGGCCATTCACCAGCTCCTCAGGGAAAGCACTGCTGACCATGCCAGGTCCATGGAGGTAACAGGAACCTCTCCCCTAATGGCACTGAAAGCCAGCATGAAAAGTGAGAACTGGGCCGGGCACGGTGGCTCACAATGTATTCCCAGCACATTGGGAGGCCGAGGTCAAGAGTTGGAGGCCAGCCTGTCCAACATGGTAAACCCCAACTCTACTAAAAATACTAAAATTAGCTGGGCATGGTGCTGGGCTCCTGTAATCCCAGCTACTTGCAAGGTTGAGGCAGGAGAATCCTTTGAACCGGGGAAGCAGAGGTTGCAGTGAGGTGACATCACACCACTGCACTCCAGCCTGGGTGACAGAAGGAGACTTGGTCTCAAAAAAAAAAAAAAAAAAAAAAATGTGAAAGTGGGCAGGATCCAAGGGGAAAACAGGGTGGAGAAATGTCAGAGACAGGGACAAGAAGCAGGGAGGGGAGGAGCTGCTATCCAGGATGTGGAG
Source organism: Homo sapiens (assembly GCF_000001405.40). Classification (NCBI taxonomy): domain Eukaryota; kingdom Metazoa; phylum Chordata; class Mammalia; order Primates; family Hominidae; genus Homo; species Homo sapiens. Next base: position 147,801 of record NW_015495298.1, on the reverse strand, counting down.
TTTAAGTTCAGAAATGAGTTCTGAAATTCTCAGTCTCACCTCTATTTTCCCACAGGAGGTGGAAACTTCAAGTGCTGGATTTACAGGATGTCTGTGAGAACTTCTGGATGGTTTGGTCTGAAGCTATGGCCCGTGGGTGCTTCCTCAATGCCAAGAGGAACAAAAAACCAGTGCAGGACTGTCCAAGGATGAGAGGACGGCAGCCCTTGACTGTGTTCGTAGAACTTTGGCTCAAGAACAGGACTCTGGATGAACACCTCACCTGCCTCCTTCTATGGGTCAAGCAGAGGAAAGATTTACTACACCTGTGCTGTAAGAAGCTGAAAATTTTGGGAATGCCCTTCCGCAATATCAGAAGCATCCTGAAAATGGTGAACCTAGACTGTATCCAGGAGGTGGAAGTGAATTGCAAGTGGGTACTGCCCATCCTGACACAGTTTACCCCATACCTGGGCCACATGAGGAATCTTCAGAAGCTCGTTCTCTCCCACATGGATGTCTCTCGCTACGTTTCCCCAGAGCAGAAGAAGGAGATTGTTACCCAGTTCACCACTCAGTTCCTCAAGCTGCACTGCCTCCAAAAGCTTTATATGAACTCTGTTTCTTTCCTCGAAGGCCACCTGGACCAGCTGCTCAGGTGAGGGAGGGTGGTGAGCTTTCTCTGCAGACCACAGCAGAGCCTGTTTCACTAAACGCTAGTGGGCATCTACTGTGAGCCAGCCTATGAGGATGAAACAGTGAAGGGGACACTAGAATGTCCATACATTGTCCTGTTGGCGGCCCTGTCCTGAAATGGGTATCATGCAACCATCCCAATAGAGGCAGAGGGATCAGCTAGGGGAGATGCTATAGAGAGGTTGCCATACTAGGAAGCTAGCTACTGGGGGGTTCAGATCTAGTGAGGGTGCCTTTCTGAATTCTTCCTGAGGACGTGTGTCTAAGTTAAGATGATGAAAAATAGGCCAGGGACGGTGGCTCATGCCTGTAATCCTATCACTTTGGGAGTCTGAGGCAAGAGGATAGCTTGAGCCTAGGAGTTTAAGACCAGTCTGGGTAACATCCCAAGACCCCTGTCAGAAATGAAGAAATAAAAGTAAAAACAAACAAGATAACTTTTTTTTTTTCTGAGATGGATTTTCACTATGATCGTCCAGGCTAGAGTGCAGTTGTGACATCTCAGCTCGCAGCAACTTCTGCCTCCCAGGTTCAAGCGATTCTCCTGCCTCAGCCTCCTCAGTGCCTGGGATTACAGGCGTGGGCCACCACACCTGGCTAATTTTTATATTTTAAGTAGAGACAGGGTTTCACCATGTTGGCCAGGATATTCTCCAACTCCTGACTTCAGGTGATCCGCCCACCTTGGACTCCCAAAGTGCTGGGATTATAGGCGAGAGCTACCACGCCCAGCCAACAAGATAATTTTTAAGAAGATGATGGGAAGTAGGGAAGTGAAGTGGTCACTGAAGAGGGGAATGCTCAGCAAATCTGCACATGTCAGAAAATCAGCTTTGTGCCCCACAGTTCCGTGAACATGAATGATCCCATCTCTAATTCCCTGTTGTAAAAGTTTCTTTTGAGCTCCAGGTAAATTAATTACCTAGGAAATGTATGATTCTGAAACAGAGGGTCAGGGAGCAGGCACAAAGAATGGTGAAAGTGATAGATGGTTTGCTGATGATACAGGCGTGTCAGGGACGCCTGCAGCCCGCCCACCCCAGCTGATGTTGCAGGATCCTGTCTGGGTTTGTCCTTTATGCCTGCATCTCCACTGGGCTTCTGTGGCCCAGGGATGTGGTTTTCTGCCTGACAGATGAGGAAAGGGAGCTTTAGGGATTCTGTGAACTTGATCCATTCCTATAAATGATGGTGAAATGACTCAGCCTCAAATGGAATTATTTTTTCTCCTTTTTTTTTTTTAATACAGAGTCTCTCTCTGTCACCCAGGCTGGAGTGTAGTGGCATGATCTCTGCTCACTGCAACCTACACCTCCTGGGTTCAAGCGATTCTTCTGCCTCAGCTTCCCAAGTAGCTGGAATTGCAGGCTCCCGCCACCACAGCTGGCTAATTTTTGGATTTTTAGTAGAGAGGAGGTTTTGCCATGTTCAGCAGGCTGGTCTCAAACTCCTGATCTCAAGGAATCCACCAGTCTCAGCCTCCCAAAGTTCTGGGATTACAGGTGTGAGTTACTGGGCCGGGCCTAAAGTGGAATTGACCTCGGTGGCAAAGCTCTTCATCACACATCATCCGAAGTGTTGACCATCCGGCCATGAGAATGATCCTGGACTTGGGCAAAATGGTCTCCATCCATTACCTTGAAGCCATTCCCCACCACCCTCCACTCACCCCTATGATTCCCCAGAATTAACTTCTTGCTCTCTCTCCACAGCTGTCTGAAGACCTCGTTAAAGGTCCTCACAATAACTAACTGTGTGCTTTTGGAATCAGACTTGAAGCATCTATCCCAGTGCCCGAGTATCAGTCAACTAAAGACCCTGGACCTGAGTGGCATCAGACTGACCAATTACAGTCTTGTGCCTCTCCAAATTCTCCTAGAAAAAGTTGCAGCCACCCTTGAGTACCTGGATTTAGATGACTGTGGCATCATAGACTCCCAAGTCAACGCCATCCTGCCTGCCCTGAGCCGCTGCTTTGAGCTCAACACCTTCAGCTTCTGTGGAAATCCCATCTCCATGGCCACCCTGGAGAACCTGCTGAGCCACACAATCATACTCAAAAACTTATGCCTGGAGCTGTATCCTGCCCCACGGGAGAGTTATGGTGCTGATGGTACTCTCTGCTGGAGCAGATTTACTCAGATTAGGGCTGAGCTGATGAAGAGAGTTAGGGACTTAAGGCACCCCAAGAGGATCTTGTTCGGTACTGACTACTGCCCTGACTGTGGCAACAGGTCATTTTATGACCTGGAGGCAGATCAATACTGCTGTTGAATGCCTGCCTATTTGGATGGGTATGTCAAACGCTTTCTTCTGGACACTTGGAAACTAAAACCTAGGTCTTAGGTACATCCTAAAGGGAGCACAGAACCCATCGTTTCACACATGGGCTCTGAAAGTGGGAAAGGAATGCTGATCAAGCAGGGGCAGGACTTGGGGGAAATGTTGCCATGGATTCGATGGGACTTTGGGAACGTGTATCCTGTAGAGTCGAAAATGGGAATCTGAATGTCTAGAGTGGAATTCAGGCTTGAGAATACATGAGGGAGTTACTCTTGCATGGATGGTTGTAAAGAAACAATCAGAAATAAAGGAAAACTGAGCAGAATCTGTCTGGTGCCCTCTATTATTAAGTAACCTGTTTTCCAGTTTAAGCCTCAGGAATCTTCAGTTATTGATGGAAAAAACAAAAGGCACTGACTGAGTTGTCCAATCAATAAGATGCAGCCCAAGAAAATCAAGGCATTTAAATGAAATTTGGTTATTGTAATCAGTTTCCTCCCATTCTTTTATTGGAGACAGAGTTTCACTCTTGTTGCCCAGGCTGGAGTTTAGAGTGCAATGGTGCCATCTCAGCTGACTGCAACCTCCACCTGGGGTTTAAATGATTCTCCTGCCTCAGCCTCCCAAGTAGCTGGGATTACTGGCATGCACCACCGTGCCCAGCTAATTTGTGTATGTTTAGTAGAGACAGGGTTTCCTCACTATGTTGGTCAGGCTGGTCTCAAACTCCTGACTTTGGGTGATTCATGCAAGTAGGCCTACCAAAATGCTGGGATTACAGGTGTGAGCCACTGTGTCAGGCTTTTGCTTTTGTTTTTGTTTTTTAAAGGTCTTCTGTCACTCAGGCTACAGTGCAGTGGCACAATCATACCTCACTGCAGCCTCAATTTCCTGGGTTCAGGCGATCTTCCCACCTCAGCCTCCTGAGTAGCTAGGACTACAGCTGTGTGAGCCACCACACCTGGATACTTTTTTTTAGTAGAAACAAGGCCTCGCTGTCTTCCCCAGGCTGATCTGGAACTCCTGAGCTTGTGATTCTCCTGCCTTGGCCTCCCAAAATGCAGGGAGTATAGGCGTGGACCACCACGCTTGGCTTGGCCTCCTCCAGTTCTTCACTTCTTTAGATGTCTGTTAAATCCTTGTTAGTTTCTGTGGCTGTTCAGTGGGTTAATACACACCAGGTGGACACCAAAGGCCTGGAACATTACTGGGCAAGAACAGTGAGCCAATCCACACGGAAAGCACCTTCTTCTCAGGGTCTTTCACCGCTAGCCAGATGCTGAGACCCTGCCCACTCCCTGTGAGTCTCCACATGCTTCCAGAAGCCTTAGTTGGTGGATGTCAGCTGCACTGCACAAGGACCCACTCTCTTCTCGCTGCCCTGGAAGGGTATGTCCATATTGTGTATTAGCTGGAGACTCTGGGCAGCACCAAACCTTGCTTGTTCCCCTGATGACCAGCAGCCCTTCTTGAATTAAACTGGTTGTAGCCAGTAAAGACAGCCACATTCCCTTTAAGTAAAATACTAAAACTATACAGGCATGTAACACTTTTTAAATATTTCCATCTGACATTTTAAAAGTTACATCTTTTTGGGGAGCTAGGTCAGATTGATGAGAGATTTTCTCATAACACTTTCCCTCTCTCCCTATGAAGGAAGAGACTAGTGCAGCGTGTTCTGGAATCTGACAGCATCAAAGGGTGGATAACGATCAAGGGCCTGTGGGTGATGAGTGACCTTCCCTGTGCTGAGGAAGCCTGCATAGCGGGCATCCAAGTGAAGGATCCTGCTGAGTACTCAGGGGCTGGTGTTGCTGTCAGGGATGTTAGCCAAGAGCCTCAGCTTCCTGTAAAATGAGGATGATGATGTCCAACAGCTTATGGGACCTAGGTAGGATCCAATGAGATGGTTCATGTTTAGGGCTTGGCATGGGGTCTGGCATACAGTAAGATCAATACATCTTGTTCTTTTTTCTCTTCTCAGCAGAAGTCCCAGCATTTTTCATCTTTCAATCTCACCTCCTTTTCCTGATAATAGAGAGGCAACAAGAACTCAGGGCATGCAATGGGGCTCAACTTCTACTCTCTGCCACAATTTCATCATGATTCCCCCAAAGAGCAGAGCCCCAGGAGCCAGCAGGGGGCAGGGTGGGCATTTCTGGACTGGATTCATTCATAATAAGATCAAAATTTCCAATCCGTATGTCTCGGGTGCCATCTGCTGATAGATCCGACCAGATGGTATAATTGAGTGTTGCAAGGATTATATTTTATGGTGTTTTTAAAAATGTACTATTATGAGCCAGGTGCAGTGGCTCACGCCTGTAATTCCAGCACTTTGGGAGGCTGAGGCAGGTGGATCACCTGAGGTTGGGAGTTTGAGACCAGCCTGAGCAACATGAAGAAACCCCTTCTCTACTTAAAATACAAAAAATTAGCCAGGCGTGGTGGCGCACGTCTGTAATTGCAGCTACTCGATAGGCTGAGGCGGGAGAATCGTTTGAACCTGGGAGGTGGAGGTTGCGGTGAGCTCAGACTGAGCCATTGCACTCCAGCCTGGGCAACAGTAGCAAAAGTCCGTCTCAAAAAAAAAAAGATAAAATAAAATTTATTATTATGGCCGGGCATGGTGTCTCACACTTCTAATCCCAGCACTTTGGGAGGCCAAGGCAGCCTCGGGATTTTGAGACCAGCCTTGCCAACATGGTGAAACCCCGTCTCTACTAAAAATACACAAAATTTGCTGGGAGTGGTGGCATTCGCCTGTAATCCCAGGTATTCAGGAGGCTGGGGCAGGACAATCACTTGAACCCGGGAGGCGAAGGTTGCAATGAGACAAGATCGCGCCACTGCACTCCAGCCTGGGTGACAGAGCATGAAAAAAAATTTACTATAATGTGAATACTATTAGAGTACAAATATTTGTGTTGTAATTTATGTACATGAAAGATTAGAACTTTTAAAGAATGCAACGTGATATGTTAAGAATGGTTAATGGCCAGGTGTGGTGGTTCATGCCTGTATTCCTGGCACTTTGGGAGGCCGAGGTGGGCAGATCACGAGGTCAGGAGTTCCAGACCAGCCTGGCCAACATGATGAAACCCCGTCTCTACGAAAAATACAAAAAATTAGCCTGGCGTGGTGACAGGCGCCTGTAATCCCAGATAGTCAGGAGGCTGAGGCAAGAGAATCGCTTGAACCTGGGAGGCAAAGGTTGCAGTGAGCCGAGAATGCACCACTGCACTCCAGCCTGGGTGAAAGAGGAAGACTCCGTCTCAAGGAGGGTGAGAAAAAGAATACTTAACTTGGTTTGAAATGTCAAAACAAATGAGATTTTAAAAACTAATTTTAAAGACACTGAACAATAATCATTTCTTCTTTAAAATATATTTAGAATAATACAATTTTAGCTTTGAAAGGAAACATTACAGTTTTTAAAAATATTGAGTTTATTTTATTTTATTTTATTTTATTTGGAGACAAAGTCTCACTCTGTCGTCCAGATTGGAGTGCAGTGGCATGATCACGGCTTACTGCAGCCTTGACCTCCTAGGCTCAGGTGATCTCCCTGCCTCAGTCCCCCTAGTAGCTGGAACAACAGGCATGCACCATCATGCCTGGCTTATTTTTGTATTCTTAGTGAAGACCAGGCTTCACCACGTTGCCCAGACTGGTCTTGAAATTCTGGGCTCAAGCGATCCACCTGCCTCGGCCTCCTAAATTGCTGGGAGTGAGCTCTTATAGGTATGAGCCACCGCACCCAGCCTTGAGTTTATTTATTTATTTATTTTGGAGATGGAGTCTCACTCTTTCACCCAGGCTGGAGTGCAGTGGTACGATCTCAGCTCACTGCAACCTCTGCCTCCAGGGTTCAAACAATTCTCCTGTCTCAGCCTCCAGAGTAGCTGGGATTACAGGCATGCACCACCACACCTGATTAATTTTTGTATTATTATTATTATTATTTTTTAGTAGAGACAGGGTTTTGTCATTTTAGCCAGGCTGGTCTCGAACCCCTGACCTCAGGTGATCCACCCGCCTCGGCTTCCCAAAATGCTACGACTATAGATGTGAGCCACCACGCCCAGCCTATTTTTTTCTTTATAGCAGTTTTAGATTCACAGAAAAACTAAGCAGAAACTGCAGAGTTCTCATCTACCTTCTTCCCCCTTCAATACACAGCACCCCCACAGGATCAGCACCCACACCAGCACAGAGCATTCGTCACAACCAATGAGCCACAGGGACACATCATTATCACCCAATGTCCATAGTTCACATGAAGGATCATTGCTGGTTTTGTATATTCTATGGATTTTAACAAAGGGATAATGACATGTATCCACCATTAGAGCATCATGGAGAGTAGTTTTGTTTCCTTAAAAGTCCTCTGTCCTCTTTCCATTCATCCCATTGTACTCCAAATCCCTTGCAACCACTGGGTTTTCTACCATCTCCATAGAAAAAGGCAGAAGGCTCTTCTGGAATGTCTAACAGGATGAGTCTTTTCACATTGCCTTCTTTCACTTGTACAATAACGTGCATTTAGGAATCTTTCATGTCTTTTTATGGCTTCGTAATAGTTCACTGACCAGATGGATCACAGTTTCTTTATCCAGTCACCCACTGAAGGGCATCTTTCTTGCTTCCAAGTTTTGGCGATTATGAATAAAGCTGCTATAAACATCCAGGTGTGGGTTTACTCCCTTCGTTAAATACCTGGGAGCATGATGACTGAATCGTAGGGGTATGGTATGTTTTACAAGGATTTTTTCTTTCTTGACAATCTCACTTGTTCGATATTGCTGCTAAAGGTCAGGAACTTTGTCTCGCTCATCCTGTGGTCCCACTGCTGAGCATGGAACGTGGCACTTGGTAGCAAATGCTGTTGACCACATGATGCATGGAAATGCTTATCATCAGTATAGCCACTAAATTGCTAACGTGGGGACGTCAACAGTAGCTCACTACCAATAATACAAATAAGTTGGATTATGGAAAAAATAGCCCTTGTGATACTGTGGATACTCCATGTGTATCATGAAAGTACAGCAATTGGCCAGGTGCAGTGGCTCACATCTGTAATCCCAGCATCTGGGAGGCCGAAGTGGGTGGGTCACTTTAGGTCGGAAGTTTGAGACAAGCATGGCCAACATGATTGAAATCCTGTCTCTATTAAAAATACAAAAATTGACTGGGCGTGGTGGTGCATAGGTGTAGTCCCCACTACTGGGGAGACTGAGGGAGGAGAATTGCTTGAACGCAGGAGGTGGAGGTTGCAGTGATCGAAGATCATGCCATTGCACCCCAGCCTAGGCAACAGAGTGAGATACCGTATCAAAAAAAGAAAAAGAAAGAAAGAAAGAGAGAGAGAGAGAGAGAGAGAAAGAAAGAAAGAAAAACAAAATGAAACAAAACAAGAAAGTCCAGCATGGTAGGAGGTACATAGAGGTACATGAGGGCGAGCTTCATTTGTTTTTCATCATTTTTCCCTTCTCTGGACAGTATTCTGAATGCAAAACATTCCAAAACCACAGAGCAAACATCTCCTATAATCTTCCCCTTATCCCAGACTTCTCTTCACAGTGTATGTGCTAGTGTCTTCCAGACTTTTGTATGACTTGCTATACAGAAGATCAGATCAAATGGGCATGTCCCTAAAAAGTGGTGACTTGCCAGTTCTGGACTCACTTTGCAGGGTGCCGGGACCTCTGTGAGAATCAAGCAGTAGCTCCAGGAGCCAGGGCTTTGGGTCTCTTCTGTGCACCTTCAGGAGCTTTTATTGACCTTTCTCACTACAACCCCCTTCTTGACTACCAACTTCCAATTCGAAAACGACATCCAACTGGATCGTGAACTTCCACCCAGTTAACCCTGATTGAGTTTTCAATTTTCTTCTCATGAAGTGATTAAATTAGATAGGCATTTATGAAAGTGAAAGAAGTAATAACAGGATGAAGGTCTAAAACTCATTTATTCACTTATTCCACAAACACTGGTAAAGTTTGACTAATATGTGACCTTCATAGTGATACAGGGAAGGATTTAATCTGTTTCTGACATTAGAATATATATATATCTTTATTGGAGAATCTTTGGCCACATCAAAAGTATCAAAACATTTCAGCATTAAAGCAGCTTTAAGAAGACAGGGATGTCATCCCTAAAAAACACAATAAAAATCTCTGTGTATCCACTGGGCACCTGGGTTTTATGCTACCTAACATGGTAGATCATATGCCCATTCAGGTGGAAGACAGGAACTACTGAGGGTGTAATTTTTCTCAAGGTTAAGGTCAAGGTTTCACTGAAAGAAATCAGGCCTACATTACAAAGTAAGGTGAGGGCTGGGCTGGATGGGACTAAGTGTTCTAATGGGACCCTAGGAGGGAACCAAGACAACATAAAACATGGCAGGTATTTTGTGGGCATCTGGACAAAAGGATTGAAAGACTTTTTTTTTTTTTAGATTGGGTGTCACCCAGGGTGGTGTGCAGTGTTGCAATCTTGACCTACTGCAACCTCTGCCTCCCAGGCTCAAGCAATCATCCCCTCTCAGCCTTCTGAGTAGCTGGAACTTCCAGCATGTGGCAGCATACCTGGCTAATATTTTGTATTTCATGCAGAGAAAAGATTTTACCACATTTCCTGGGCTAGTCTCAGAATTCCTGGACTCAAGTGAACCATGGTGCCCAGCAATGTTATTGTGATTTTAAATGACAGATTTTGCTTTGTTTTTAAGAAAACCACAGAGATATTCCATATGCTATTTTCTTTTCTTTTTTTTTTTTAATTTTGAAATGAAGTCTCACTCTGTCACTCAGGCTGGGGTGCAATGGCATGATCTCAGCTCACTGCAACCTCCACCTCCCAAATTCAAGTGATTCTTCTGCCTCAGCCTCCTGCGTAGCTGAGATTACAGGTGCGAGCCAACACACCCAGCTAATTTTTGTATTTTTAGTAGGGTTGGGGTTTCACCATATTGGCCTCACTGGTCACGAACTCCTAACCTCAGATGATCCACCTGCCTTGGCCTCCCAAAGTGCTGGGATTACAGGCATGAACCACCATGCCCCATCATATATGCTATTTTCTATTAATTTTTTTAATAGTGATGGGGTCTTGCTTTACTACGTAGTCTGGTCTTGAGGCAGAAATTTAAACACAATAATAACAATAAATACTACATTCATTTACTCCAAGAAAAGTTACAGACAAAGCTATAAGAAGGTCATAGTGACCTAGTCTGAGAAGTAAAAGCCAAGGCCCAGAATGTGTCAGGCAAAGGTAAAACAAACAAACAAACAAACAAAAAACAAGTTTTCCTCTGCCTAGCAAGCTCATTTCAAGGACAGTTATAAGATAATGCTGTTGGAGAAGTTGAAAGAAAGGAATAGGCTCCAGACACCCACTGCTCCAGAGCAAGGGTGATTAAAAAAAAGAAAGAAAAATGGCAAATGTCTGTATTTAGCCAGTTCTTCTTTTTTCTTTTGATGCAGCTACAAGGCCACCAGCTATGCAAGGCCACAGTTATGTAATAGATTACATTACCTGTCATTGTATGATTAACTGCCATTGTTTTGCTTCTGTAAGCCTGCTTATAAAAATCCTGCTCAGTCTTTGTTCAATGCTCAGCTTTTTGGATATGAATCCACTGAGCCAGTGTGTACCTTAAAAAAAAAAATCCTCCTGTTTTCCCATATCAGTCTCTCTGGTCCTCAGTTTCTCAGAACTTTTTGGTGAGCCAGACAGGAGGAGTGGAGATGACAGGTTTACTTTCTCCTTTTCTTGTGGGGCTGGAGCCCAGGGTCAAGGGAAAGAAACCTGTGACCCCAGGCGCTGCTGGAAGAACTTCAGCCCAGAGGGGAGATCGGCTCTCCTGTGACCTGGTGCCCCCACCCAGCAGCACAACAGAACCTGAGGGGCTACAGGATGATTCCAGGAGCAGTGTGATTTCTTCAGGACTGCAGTAAAGTTTTGGGACCAAAGACAGGATCCGTCCCATAAGGACGGAAGGGGAGCCTGATCACCTCCAAGGGTGTAACTAGTAATCTGACCCAGAGAGGCTGGAGGTGGTGACAGAGGCTCGCCAATTCAGATGAATCTCACACCCTACCTGGCACACAATGCAAGAGTGGCTCCCCAAGTCGGTTAGGAAAAGAAAACTGGAGGTGGTGAGAGTGGCTCACAACCCCAATTAGGAACACACGAACTGGGAGTGGGGAGGTGTGTGAAAGTGTGTGAAAGATACAGTTCAGGGAGGAACCAATGTGGGAGTGGCATGGGGAGTCACAGATCTCTTAGCATGGTCTGTGTGCTCCAAGCCAAGTGTGGGGCCAACCTGCACTAGTGGCGAACCGCATACAGCTAATAGGAGCTGCCCCACATCTCAGAGTTATGGTGGGAATAAAACCCTTTCTTAAGCCAAGTGGCATCTGAAAACTCCCATAATAGGAGATGATCTGGTGGGTCTGAGGCAAAAGGAAGAGTGGGTGTGCTGCATCGTAAAGCGAGGAAATAGGAGGAAAGTCATCAAAACACACTCCATTGGGTGCATGTTAGAGAACTTTAATAAAGGTTTTGCAGGAGATTATGGAGTTACGCTAACCTCCTAGAGGTTGAGAACTCTCTGTGAATTCAAATGGCCTTCTTTTGGTGTTGGATGGCCAACCAAAGGAACTATAGATAGGGAAATAATTGACCGTGTATTTAAGGTGGTGACAGGGGTTGGAGGACAGCCTGGGCACCCAGATCAATTTCCTTATATTGACTTATGGTTAAATATAGCACAGACAAGACCAGCATGGTCCAGCTCTGTTTAGCCAGTTAGTGCAAAACACTTGTGGCCAGAGCCGTGCCAAAAATGAAAGTAAGAACAGCTTCACCGGCAGACACAGAGTTAAAGGCAAAGTCCCAGAGGGAGCAAAAAAGCCAGTTTTGCAGGATCCACCAGAGGGAATAGAGATTCCTACTCCATATGTCCCAGCCTAGCCTTCTTTACCGAGGCCAACAGTCCCCCAGGAACCAGATTCAGGAGCTAGCACACCCAAAGTCTCACCCCAAAGGAAGGATCAGAGGCTTGAGAGGCCAGGGAAGGAAGTCAAGATGGTTAAGCCGGCCATCTCAGATCTAGCCATGCTTGAGTTATGCAAATGCATCTCAGGGAGATGGGAGGACCCATTTATTATGATGACCAAGGCCAAGTCAGGTGGGGGGAATGGACTTTCATCTATCATCCCTTTTCAACCATTGATCTCTTGAACTGGAAACACCATACTCCCTCCTATATGGCAAAGCCCCAAGCTCTTATAGATCTGATGCAATCCATCTTTCTGACACACAATCCAACCTGGCCAGACTGCAGGCAGTTTTTTCTCCCACTGTTTAACACTGAGGAGTGTCGGAGAGTAACACAGGCAACTCTCTGCTGGCTAGAAGCCCGCTGTTCTCTCTCTACACTTTGTCTCTGTGTCTTATTTCTTTTCTCAGTCTCTCACCCCACTTGATGAGGTATACCCACAGGTGTGGAGGGGCTGGCCCCCTTCCTTTAGGGGCAGCAGGATTCTGCCACATCTGGATTCCAAATTTTTCAGTGATGGCTAAGACATTATATGAAGCCACAAAATCGGAGAAAAAGAGCCCCTCCTTTGGGAAACTAATCAGGAAATAGCATTCAAACAGCTCAAGGAAGCTTTAGGTCAGGCCCAACCTTAGGACTACCAGATATAATTAAGCCTCTCTTTCTATGTATTCATGAATGAAAAGGAATGGTTATAGGGGTTCTGACTCAAATTATAGCATCATGGCATTGCCCAGTGGCGTATTTATACAAACAACTGGACTCTGTGGTGCTAGGATGGTCTCCTTGCCTTAAGGCATTAGCTGCCACCATCTTGTTAACACAAGAAGCTAGCAAATTAACTCTGGGACAGCAGCTAACTGTGCGGGTGCCACACTCAGTTATAACTTTGATGGACCAAAGAGGGCATCTTTGGTTATCAAACCCAAAAATGACTCAGGTCTTCCTTGTGAGAACCCTTACATTATTTTAGAAACAGTGAACACCTTAAACCTGGCTCCTCTGCTCCCAGTCTAACCGGGGGCTCCCCTCCATGACTGTGTTGCAACAGTAGATGAGGTGTTCTCCAGTCGGAAAGATCTTGCAGACAGACCTCAGAGACCCGGCTTTTGAATACTTCACAGATGGAAGTAGTTTTGTGCTAGAAGGGGTTCAAGATGCCAGGTATGCAGTAATAACATTGGACTTAGTAGTAGATGCTCTGCCTCTGCCTACTGGAACATGAGCTCAAAAGGCAGAATTAATAGCCCTGACAAGAGCACTGTTTCTAGCAAAAGAGAAGAAGGTCAATATTTACACTGATTCTAAGTATGCTTTTACTACATTGCATGTACATGAAGTTATAGACAAAGAGAAAGGGCTTTTAACAGCTGGAGGCAAAGAAATCAAGTACAAAGAAGAGATTCTACAGCTCTTAGAGGCTGTATGGCCTCCAGGAAAAGTAGCTTTAATGCACTGCAGATGGCACCAAAAGTCAGGGACACCAAAAACCAAAAGAAACAGAAAGGCAGACAGAGAGGCAAAGAGGGGAGCAATGATTGCATCACATTTTAAAGAGGAAGCCTTAGCTATGCTTCTCCTCCCAGAAGCTCCTCTCCAAGAAGATCCAAGTTCTACTCCAAATGAAAGAGCCTGGTTTGCTCAAGAAGCTGGAAAATATATTAAAGGAGGGTGGTGGAAATTCTTCAATGGGACATTAGCCATTCCAGAAATGTTAGCTCCTACGTTTCTGAAGCAAATTTATCTAGGAACTCATATGGGAAAAAATGGCACTGGAAACATTACTGAAATGCTGTTTCTATGTGCCGTGGCCATCATTTGAGCTGTTTGTAAACAATGTTTAACCTGTGCTCAGAACAACCCGTGACAGGGGCCCACTCAACCCCCAAGAATTCAGGAAGTAGGAACCATGCCTTGTGAAAACTTTCTTGTAGACTTTACCAAACTACCCCATGCCGGAGGCTATCAGTATATGCTGGTGCTTATTTACACCTTTTCAGGATGGGTTGAAGCTTTCCCCACCAGAACAGAAAAAGCATGAGAAGTGACTAAAGTACTGCTAAGAGACATCATCCCCAGGCTTGGACTGCCTCTAACTTTAGGGTCCGTTAATTGCACGGCATTTGTAGCTGAAATAGTGCAAGATTTAACAAGACTGTTAAAAATAAAATGGAAGTTACACACAGCCTATCAGCCGCAAAGTTCAGAAAAAGTGGAATGCATGAACCAGACACTCAAGGAGCTTCTGAAGAAATATTTCCAGGAAACCTATCTGAGATGGGATCAGGTCTTGCCTATGGTCCTCCTCTGAGTCAGGTGCACCCTCACCAAACAAACTGGGTATTTGCCCTATGAGATTTTGTTCAGTCAGCCTCCCCCAATCATAAGTCAAATTAAAGGTTATCTCCTTGAACTAAGAGAATTAACCTTAAGAAAGCAAATGCAGGCATTAGGGACAGACTTGCAAAGTGTCCATGGGTGGGTACAGGAAAGAATGCCTGTAAGCCTGACAGACCAGACACACCCCTTTAAACCTAGTGACTCTGAGTTAAAAAGTTGAATTAAATTCTCTAGGACCCATATGGGATGGGCCCTATACTGTAACCTTTTTTTTTTTTTTTTTTTTTTTTTTTGTTGATGCAGAGTCTTGCTCTGTCCCCCAGGCTGGAGTGCAGTGGTATGATCTCAGCTCACTGCAAGCTCTGCCTCCTGGGGGTCGCACCATTCTCTTGCCTCAGCCTCCCAGGTAGCTGGGACTACAGGTGCCCACCACCATGCGTGGGTAATTTTTGTATTTTTTTTTTTAATAGAGATGAGGTTTCACCGTGTTAGCCAGGATGCTCTCCATCTCCCAACCTCGTGATCCACCCGCCTCGGGCTCTGAAAGTGCTGGGATTACAGGCATGAGCCAACACACCCAGCCCTATACTGTAATCTTGTGTACTCCCTCTGCTGTTAAAGTTGCAGGTGTTGTGCCTTGGATCCACCACAGCTGGCTGAAACCGAAGCTCAGGACAAGTGGACCAGCCAGCAGGACCCAGATCACCCACCTGATCCTGAGATGAGACACAGCTGATCCTGAGATGAGACCAAGCTGATGCTAAAGATGACTGCCCTGCTCTGGTCACTCCAGAAGCTGACCAGTCTACGTACAGCTGAAGGTTGAGGAGACAACAAGCCCTGCTCTAGTCACACACTGGAAGCTGACTAGTCTACGCACGGCCGAAGCTTGAGGACTCATCAAGCAAATAAACATAGTTAGAAATCTTAGGACTAGTAGTTTTCCTTGTAATACTGTTTTCCTATTGTTCACTGAAACCTCTGCTTCCTCAGTTCAAGCAATTCTCCTGCCTCAGCCTCCCAAGTAGCTGGGACTACAGGCACAACACCACACCCAGCTAATTTTTCTATTTTTACTAGAGATGAGGTTTCACCATATTGGCCAGGCTGGTCTCAAATTCCTAACCTCATGATCCACATGCCTCAGCCTCCCAAAGTCCTGGGATTACAGGTGTGAGCCACTGCGCCCAGCTGTCCTGCTTCTTTCTCAGTGGGGATCTGCTCCCCACACATTCTCCTCTGTGTTCCTCAGACCACGAATATCTCTGAGGTCCATCAGTGTGAGGTCTCTTGCAGGTGCCATTCCTTCCTTTCTCTCAGGACTTTTTTTATTGGTGTGTCTCTGTGCCATAAGGAATGTGTGCCTGTGAAGAACAGGCTAGACTCTGCAGCAGGACACAGAGGCCCTGGAGAGGCAGACAGTGGAGCAAGCAGGGGCTGAAGTTACCTCGTTTTTACCCAAAGGAGGCTCCTAACCACTGTCGCCACTGACACAGTGGCTCCAATAAAAAGAAAATAGGGGATGACTCCACACATTTCCTTGAGCAGCTAGAAAAAAAAATCCCTGTTGATATTCATATTAGTACAGTACTTTTGGTAGTGTTAGCACTTGTATTAGTAGTAGTACTAGTATTAGTGTCAATACCTACATTAGTATTAGTAGTGGTCTTGTTTAGCTGATGAAAGCTTGTTTCTCTCTCCTTCTGGGATAAAAACTCAAGACACCCTGGGGATCTCGAGTGCATGGACCAGGGAGTCTGAAGGAGTTTGTTCTTTGGATGTGAACCCATGGGAAGTGGGTGTGTATTCTGTGGCCAAAGTCGCTGACCTCTTTGATTAGAGGAGACACAGGGGGCTAGCACCCACCCCCAGGCCTGTGCTTCCAGGAACACTTCTCTCTCTTTCCATGTGTGTGCCTGAGAGGGTTCCTGGTCCTCACCCATCCCCATTGGCTCTTCTACAGGTGATGTGTCTACTGTACACCTACAGGTGACCTTGTGTAGAAAGAAATCCAAGAACACACATGGGGCCACATAGAGTGAGACTGCCTCCAGGCAGGCACAGGGACCCCGAGCTTCTGAGGCACTGTGAGCGCCTGAGACTGGGGCACTCTCATGGAGACAAATGCATGGGGCTTTAGAAAAGGCTGGGTTGGAGGGAGCAGAGGAGGGCATGGATGGAATGCAGGGGTCCCTGGAAGCTTCAGGCCAGAGGCACTTGGGAGTGGGGAAGGCATCATGGAGAAAAAGGTCAGGGCTCCTTCCATGCCCTGAGGTCACAGCGGGTCTCCCTCTCTCCCAGCTTCTCCCTGGGCTCTTGTGTCTGGGAGTCAGGGCTGGCTCAGCTGGGGTTCTTTGGTGAGTGGGAAGGACATAGGGCACTCAGCGTCTCAAGTGCAAATTTTAACATAATCCTCAATGAGAGGTTTCGCCCAGTAGCCTCCTGTCCACAGATCCCATGTCTCCTTGCTGCACTCCTGAGGGGGTTGCCCAGCCAGGGACACGAGGCGTTTTACTTTTCCCTGCCAAGTGAAAAACCATGTTAATCTGTGAGGCCAGCTCTGTCCTGGAGAGTTGTCACTTTCTAGGTGCTCACACCACACACATGTATATATATATATATACACATACCATGAGGTCATTGACACTTACCAAGGGGGCGAACCAGGGATGTCAGGATCCACGGGGCCCCACCCAGGGGCTGCTGGGAAGGCACTTTTGTCCAAGGAGGTACCCCGGCCTGAACCTCCGCTGTTCCCTTTTTTTTTTCCTTCCACAGGTGCCTCTACCTCCCCTTTCAAGCCTTATCATCCTTTCTGGGCCTTCTTGCCCCATTGGGGTAAAACCGCGAGTGTGACATGCACCGTGGGTGAGCACCAGGGACGCCAGGATCACCAGGGCCCTGTGCAGGGTCTGCTGGGAGGGCACTTTCATCTGTGGGGGGACCCAGGCACCCCTTCTCTGCCTCGCCATTTTTTTTCTTCCACAGGTGTCTCTACCTCCCCTTTCTAGCCTTATCTTCCATCCTGGGACTTCTTACCACTTTGGGGTGCCCCCCATGGGTGTGACATGCACCTTGGGTGTGAATCAGGGATGGAACTAACCCCGGAGCCCTGTGCAAGTGCTGCTGGGAAGGCACTTTAGTCCATGTGGGGACACAGGCCCCCCTCCTCTGCCGCACGTATTTTTTACCTTCCACTAGTGCCTGTTGCTGCTTTGGGTTTCCCCCCAGTGGGAGGGACAGGCATCGTTGGGGCGAACCAGGGACACCAGTATCCCCAGGACCAAGCTCAGGAGCTGCTGGGAAGTCACTTTCATCCATGGGGGGACCCATGCCCACCTCCTCTGCCGTGCCGTTTTTTATTCCTTCCACAGGTGCTTCTACTTTAAGCTTCAAGCCTTCTCTTCCATTCTGGGCCTTCTTGATGCTTTGGGGTGCCTCCCGCAGGTGCAACACGCACTGTGGGTGTGAACCAGGGATGCCAGGATCCCCCGGGCCCTGTGCAGGGTCTGCTGGGAGGGCACTTTCATCCGTGGGTTGACCCAGGCCCCCCTTCTCGACTGCGCCATTTTTTTCCTTCCACAGGTGCCTCTACCTCCCCTTTCAAACCTTATCTTCCCTTCTGGGCTTTCTTGCCCCTTCCGGGTGCCCCCACCACCATGACAGGCAACGTGGGTGTGATCCAGGGATGCCAGAAATCCCGGGGACTCCGTAGGGGCTGCTGGGAAGGCACATTCTTCTGTGGGGGGACCCAAGCACCCCTCCTCTACGGTGCCCATTTTTTTCCTCCACAGGTGCCTCTACCTCCCCTTTCAAGTCTTGTCTTCCTTTCTGGGCTTGCTAGAAGCTTTGGGGTGCCCCCCATAGGTGCGATATGCAGCGTGGGTGTGAACCAGGGACGCCAGGATCCCCGGGGCCCAGTGCAGGGTCTGCTAGGAAGGGACTTTCGTCTGTGGGTGGACCCAGGCCCTCCATCTCAGCCCCACCATTTTTTTTTTTCCTTCCACAGGTTCCTCTACCTCCCCTTTCTAGCATTAACTGCCATTATGGGCCTTCTTGGAAGTGCTGGGAACTGCAGAACCACAAAAAGGGAATCACAGCCCTGGCTCAGGAAGCTCCCACGTCTGGGCTCCTGAAAAGAGTAGTAGCTCTTCTCTTTTTCTCTTCACCTACAACTTGGTGAGCAAGGGGCGTGTTTCAGCTTTGTTTGTGTTACTGCTTTTAGCCCCACCATTAGGCGGGTCTTGTCCTGCAACCAGGAAGAATGAAATATGCAGACAAGTGGAGAGTGAGCAAGATAAAGAGGACCTTTATTGAGCAATAGAATGGGGAAGGGGGGACCTCCTGGGCCCTCGAGAGCACTAGGGGACCTTGTTTGGTAACTGCAACCTGGGCAGCTTCAGTTGTGCCTTTGGAGCTACTGCCCTGCCAACTTGGGAGGACCAGGACTCCCTCTTGTCCCAGGATCCCATCAGCTCCAAAGTGTGCACAGCCTCAGCTTTGCCCTCTCTCTGTTTCCGTGCAGAGGTGACAGGTGAGATGCAGGTTCACAGCAGCTCTGGTCAACCCCACAGAAACAAATCTGAAGCTCCTGGGTCCGGTTTAATGAGCCCCAACTGCGCTCTGATCCAGGAGTTTGCAGGCTAACAGCACAAAGTGGGGAGTGAGGTCGAGGCTGTGGTGGAGACTGCGGACCTAGGGGCAAGTCCCGTTTAGCCGTGAGAGGGTATGGGTGGCACAGTTGGCTGCCTCAGGGACATGGGGCACAGGCCTGGCTGACAACCCAGCCAAGAGGTGGTGCCTTTAGGAGTGGATCGTGGTCCACAGGCCCAGCAATCGGAAGCATCAGGCTCTGTGTTCACCCCTCTTGGGGGCAGATCTTGGAAATGCAGCCTCAGGAAGATTCACACAGAACTCCTTTTTAGACCTAGGAACTTGATACTATTAGCAGGGTGGGCACACAGTTGATGCATAGCTGGCCAGGTCATTGAACTTGGTGCCATTTCTGCTTCCCAACTCGGGGCCCTGGAGCATGGCCCCAGCTCTGCCTTTGGAACCTGACAACCACACTTCATGTGCAAGCACGGCACCACCCCAAGCCCATCTTCTCCTCATGGCCCCTTTCTGCCTGTGCCTTTGTGCCCGACCGAGCTGCTCCCCACAGTCGAAAAAGTATGAAAAAACAGATGACTAAAGAGAAGTAAAGGATGGGTGCAGACCATTCGCACACCTGTAATCCCAGCACTTTGGGAGGCCAAGGTTGGCAGATCACTCAAAGCCAGGAACTCAAGACCAGCCTGGTGAACAGGGTAAAACCCTGTCTCTACGAAAAATACAAAAATTAGCAGGCTTGGTGGCACGTGCCTGTACTCCCAGCTACTTGAGTGGTTGAGGCACGAGAATCACTTGAGCCCCACAGGAAAGGATTCCAGTGATCCCAGATTGCACCACTACACTCCAGCCTGAATGACAAAGCAATATTTTTGTCTCCAAAAATAAAAAAATAAATAATGAAATAAAAGAACAAGAATGGGTGGGAATTACTCAAAATGGTCTAATTTTATTTGGCTGCTATGATGTTCCGCAGCTGAACCTCAATCACAGACAAACTAGTGCCTCGTTATTTTTCCATCAGTAACTCAATAACTAGAGATTTCTGATGTATAAATCCCTAAAACAAGTAAATCAATTACAGAGGACACCAGAAAGTTTTCACTGAGGTTCTCTATTTCTGATATTTCTTGGTAATCATCCTTGCAGGGATAACATTCTCATCACTGAAGAATTTTAGTTTCTCTTTCTGACTCTGTAGCTCTCATTGACTCCACCTCAATATTTTCCTCAAGTCTTGCCCCCTGCTCTTAGGATTTTTTCCCTCGCACTGAGCACCTGTCTGAAACAGAGCTCTGTGCTTCCTTTAAGTTGCACATGTGGCCTGGGCACAGTCGCTCATGCCTGTAATCCCAGCACTTTAGAAGGCCGAGGCAGGAGAATCCCATGCGACCAGCAGTTTGAGACCTGCTGGGGCAACATAGTGAAACACTTTCTCAATTTTTTTGTAATAAAAATATTGGAATTATTAAAAAAGGAAATAAGAAAAGAGGAAAATAACTTGCACCTACATACTAGATTTTAGTGTCCAAGGGCCTAGAAGAGAACATTGGATTTCTCTACCCCGCTAGGCACGCCTTCCCTAGCAGCAAAGATGGAGCTCCAGTTCCTCAGACGGTGATGAGCCACAGGACGGGCAGGGGGCGGGGCCAATGAAGATCCTCTTGGGCTGCCTGACTTCCCTTAGTGTACACATCAACTAAGCCCGAAGTGGGGTGAAGATCTCCCAATCGACATGAACCAAGGAATTCAAACTCTCCTCGGGGGCAGGATACATCTCCAGGCTTAACTTGCTCAGCCCACTGGTGTGGCACAGCAGGTCCTTCAGGGCTTCCATAGACATGCAATTTCTGCCAAAGTAGAAGGTGGTGAGCTGGGAGCAGCGGCTCAGGCCAGGCAGGATGGCACTGAGTTGGGAGTAGTGGATCTGACAGCCCTCCAAGATGAGGGTCTTAAGAGTAATTGCTGCCTCTCTCGAGACCCTCGTGTTGGCAGAAACTTTCTCCAGCAGAGCTCCGAGGGGTTCAAGACTGATACAGAACTGCAGCATGTAGCTGAGATTCAGATGCTTTGGGTAAGCGAGGCTTGGGTACTGGTAGAGACACTTCAAGTCCTCTTCCAATAGGTAGCCGCAAGTTAATTCCAAGTTCTCCAAGGGGTTCTAGAGGCACCTGTGGAGATCAAGAAGTTAGTTCTGGGCAATGGTACCAGTTAGATGAAGGTAGTGGGGAATGAACTCAAGGAAAATACCTGCTTCAACCAAACACAAGTTTGTTCCCACCATCTGATGATGGTCCTCATGCAAGTTGCTGCATGTTGAGGACCCTGATCATTCAGGGGCTGTCCCATTTTAGCCTCAGCCCTTTCACCATTTCTTGTGTGATTGGGTCAAGGCCACAAAATCTCTAAAGCCTTTTATCTTCATCTTTTAGCAGAAAACCTCATCTCTGGGCCACAGGTACCCGGTGGGAGATGTGCACAAAGAACTCAACTCAGCAAGGTCTAGGGACATTAGCTGGGGCTACCTGCCGGCAGGGGCTCCCTGGCCTGCCTGCATCTGCAAACCAACTGTCACTTTTTACCACTCTCACTCCTACTCCTTCACCCTCCATCCCAGAAGCATGCATGTCCCATGTCAATTGACTTTCCTGGAGTTCAAAACAACCTTCTACAGACAGGGAATCAGAGACAGGATCATTCATGATCACTAAGCTGGTGAGGACAGAGCTTCTACTGTGAAATGCACAAGTTTGATGCACTGTCCCTCCTTTCATACCCTCCTTTGTTACCTCTTTTACATCATATCAACTTGAAACACACTTTGTAACAAGAAATTCACACGTGCACATGCAGTAGAGACAAAACGCCCACTAAGTACCTTGTACATGATGTCCCTCTCTAGCCTCTACCCTAGGTGACCCCTCTGCCTTTATTGAAGTGATCCTGTGATAGCCACTCCAGGACATGGAGCACTGAACGGGACAATGTGTTGACATTCTGGTGTCCCCTGCACTGTGCCGTCGCCACTGGCTGGCACACAGTACACGTCTTCTAGTGTTTACTGTAACAAAAAAAAAGGCTGCGCTGTGGTCTGCAGAGAAAGGGCACGATCCTTTCTCACCTGATCAGCTGTCCCAGGTGCCCTCTGTGGAAGGTGACCATATTCATTTTAAGCAGCTGGAGGTGTTTCAGCCTGAGGAACATAGAGCTGATTTTGGCGACTGAGCATTCCTCGCGGTAATTGACGTGTAAGGATGGCACCTGGAGAAAAATGAGTTTGCGAAGATTCTTCATCTCCTTCAGGTAACAATGAAGCTTTCTTATCAGATGTGGCCAGGACACATAGCAAATTTCCAGCTCCTGAATACTATTCAGGTGGATTATTTTCAATGATCTTCTGAGATATTCAATCGACGTTAGATAATTCACCAACTTACTACAGCACAGGTGTACTAAACCTCTCCTTTGGTAAACCCACCGGAAGAGGTATCTCAGGCATTCATCCTGGGGTATTTCCTTGAGGCAGATGTCTATGAACACCTTCAAGGGCTGGTGCTCTCCCATCCTTGGACAGTCCTCTGCTGTCTGCCTCTTACTCATGGCCTCTGGGGAGGAGGACAGGGCCCTGGATTCAGACCATATGGCCCAGAAATTCTCATCAACATCCCGCAAATCCAGCACTTGAAGTTTCCACCTCCTGTGGGTAAAGTAAGGCAGAGGCTCAGAACTTTGAAGGACAAATCCCTGACCTTTGCTTTCATTCTCATCCAATAAATCAGCTGCTCCTGTCCTCGCTGCTCCCTGTTCTCTCTGAGTTTTCTTGGTCCCTTTTCTCTTTCAATTCTGACTGGTCCCCACTTCTATTCCATTTACCTTCCACTGGGAATAGGCAAGTTTCTGTTCCCACAGTGGACCCTATATTGTGGGCAGTTCTTTCCCTGAGGATCTGGGCAATGGCCAAGGCATGCCTGAGCTTCGTCACCAGCACCACCAGAAGACACTGGGCCATCCTTGGGATACTTCTTTGCCTGACCCTGCTGTTCTTTCCCTGGACACCTGAGCCCCATCTACCAGCCTTCCTGGGTCACCTCACCTGGGGCGATCCTTCTGTGTAAGCAGCATGTGAAGCCCTTCCAGCAATGCTTTTAAGGTCTCCAGATGAAGCGTCTTCATCAGCGATCCCAGAGGGAGGCGGGTGAAGGGCCAGGCCTGCACCATCACTGTCAGAGTCTGGAAGTGTCTCCTGCTGAAGGCCTCCAGGAAGAGTGGGAGGTAGAGCTCCCTGGGCAGCTCCTCCAGGGCAGAGATGGCCAAGGGCTTGTCTCTCAGCAGACTCTGCCCCGCCAGCTCCAGGAGTCTGGGTGGGGCCTGGATGCTCATCCTGATGAATCTGTAAGGAAAAACTCTAGAAGACAAATCCAGAGAAAAGGCATCACTTTCAGGCCAAACACAATCACCTCATCTTCTCCTAAGGCCAGTAGCATTGCTCTGGTAGAGGTAGAAAAATTACCACTTTACCCCAATTCCACTCTGCACTTGGTGGCCACAAATCTATATTTCTGCTTCTGCTGGTACCAGGAAGAATGTCTTCCAAACACCAAGGAGGGAGGGGTCAAAGAGACCACTGGCCCATTAATTTTCATCCATGGCTCCACTGAATCCCAGTACCACTGGAAAGTGTCACTGAGGATCCTGAAAGCCAAGCTCTACCTCTTTGAGGAAAATTTTCTTGTCACTTACCGCCCTAAAGCAATGAGAATGAGAGTGTCCTGTGGCCCCAGACAGCCTCCATTCTCAGTTTTCACCATGAACATGCTGGGGGAACACTAAAGGGACTCCCTAAAGTCAATGCCATTATTTTTTATTTTGAAAAATTTCAACCAGAAACTGACCGGGTGCTGTGGCTCATGTCTGTAATCCCAGCACTGTGGGAGGCCAAAACAGGCAGATCACTTGAGGTTAGGAGTTCGAGAACAGCCTGGCTTACGTAATGAACTCTGTCTCTACTAAATATAAAAAAATTAAAAATCATTTGACTCCAAAAGGCAGAGGTTGCAGTGAGCCGAGATCCCACCACTGCACTCCAGTCTGGACAAAAGAGTTAGACTCTGTCTCAAATAATAATAATAATAATAATAATAATAATAATAATTAATTAATTAAAATGTTAGCCAGGTGTGGTGGTGCAGTCCTATAATCCTAGCTACTCTGGAGGCAGAGGAAGAAGAATCACTTGAATCCCGGAGGCAGTGTTTTCAGTGAGCTGAACTCAACACCCTGCCCTTCAGCCTGGGTGACAGAGTGAGACTCCATCTCAGAACAAGAGAAAAGAATTAACCAGAAACTAAAAGCGACGTGATGGTATTCTAGAGCATTTGGAAGGTAGGGATAGAAATACTAACTCTAGATGAGGCACAGTGGCTCACTCCTGTAATCCCAGCACTTTGGGAGTCCAAGGTGTGTGTTTTTATTTTGAAAAACTGTAAGAGAAATTATAAAAGCAGTGTTGCAGTAGTCTAGAGCACTTGGAAGGTAGAAATGGAAACACTAAGTCTGAGGAGAAGGATCCAATACACATCCCTTCCACATACTCACAATCACACACTTAGGGACAGAGTCTAAGGGAAGAGATAAATCCCAGGTTCGGAACAAGTCTCTTGAGAATGGTGTACGGGAGATCTAAGATTTCTGTAAAATGAAAGCCTGACTAATAAAATCACAATACCGCTAAGTGTGTGAACTATAGCTGACAGGCACAGAAACCAACAACTTCACATGTCAAGACATAAACATCCATCCAACTGTAAATTTTTAATATTTTTTTTTTAAAAACTGCTTCAATAAGAATTTTGAAATGAGGAAAATGAAGCACAAATCAAAATTTGAGGGATGAAGTCAAAACTATATTTGGAGGAAAAATCAAAACCTACATCTGTTTAATCTGAAAAAACAGACAGGAAATTCTCTGTGCCATTTTGGGCTGTGTGTCACCATCCCTGACTGGCTGGCTGCAGATTAGACGGGCATGTTCCTAAGAAGGTGGTGACTTACCAGATCTGGACTCAGTTTGCAGGGTGCTGGGACCTCTCAGAGAACCAAGCAGTAGCTCCAGGCACCAGGGCTTTGGGTCTGTCCTGTGCAAACTCAGGAGCTTTTGTTGATGTTTCTAACCACACCCTCCCCTTCTCAATCACCAGCTTCCAATCAGAAAGTGATACCTGATTAGATCCTGAAGTTCCACCCAGTTAATCCTGATTGAGTTTCACACTTTCTTCTGATTCATTGATTAAATTAGATGTGCATTTATGAAAGTGAAAGAATAAATAACAGGGTGAAAGTCCAAAAGTCATTAATTCATTTATTCCCCAAACACTGATGAAGTTTGACTAACATGTGACCTTCATAGTGACATGGAAGGTTTAATCTGTTCCTGGCATTAGAAAGAAAAAACAAAACCTGATGATATCTTTATGGGAGAATATTTGGCCACATTGAAATTATCCAAACGTTTCAGAGCTAAGACAGCTTTAAAAAGACGGTGATGTCAACCCTAAGAAAACAGAATACAAAGCTCTGTTATCCAACAGTTACCTGGGTTTTATGCTTCCTAACGGGGCAGGTCATATGTGGGTTCAGGTTGAAGAGGGGAACCACTGAGGGTGTTATTGATCACAAGACTAAGGTCAAGGCTTCACTGCAGGAAATCAGGACAGAATGACAAAGTGAGGTGGGGGCTGGGCAGGATGGGACCGGGTGTTCTAGTAGAACCCTGGGAAGGAACCAAGACAGCATAAAACATGGTGGGTATTTTGTGGGCATCTCCACAGAAGGATTGAAAGACTCTGTCTGGATTGAGTTTAAAAATTAAAAAGGGAATAGTTACAGAAGAGACAGTGCAGACTCTTCAAACACAACATTGTCTTTGAGGGCAGAGAAGGCAGAAACAGTCTTGGCCCCTACTAGAAGGGAAAGCGTGTTTACTCCCAAAAATGATGGGCTCGCCTCAGAAAATCAGCCTGGGAAGATGGAATCTGAGAATCTGAGCTGGGGCAGATGCCAGAGAGAAGCAGTGTGGCCAGACCTGGGAAGGGAGACTTTCCCAACCTGGAAGCCATCGAAGGTGGGAGCTGTGGGTTTTGCAGGATGTGGGAGAAAGTGAACAAGGGTCCAAGTCTCTGTCATGGTGCTATGGTCTGGAAACCTTTCTTTTAGACTCAGGGATCTTCCCACAGTGGGACATTTCCCAGCAACCCTCACCCACAGGTGTTTCCCAGGGCCCCTCATCCTCATCAATACCCTCGTGCCATTCCCCAGCATATTTTGATAATTAATGTTCTGCCATCCTTAAAGTCCTCCCTTGTCCCTGATATTGAACAGAGAGATTCTGATTAAAGTGATACCATTAGGTATACAAAGAAAACTCAGGCCATGTGTGGTGGCTCATATCTCTAATTTCAGCACTTTGGGAGGCCAAGGCAGATAGATTACTTGAGCGCAGGAGTTTGAGACCTGCCTGGGCAACATGGAAAATTCTGTCTATAAAAACTATATACGAAAAATTAGCCAGGCATGGTGGTGTGCACCTGTAGTCCCAGCTGCCCAAGAAGTTTAGATGCGAGGATCACCTGAGCCCAGGAGGTTGAGACTGCAGTGAGCCATCATTGTGCCACTGCACTCCAGCCTGCTCAACAGAATGAAACCTTGCCTCAAAAAAAAGGAAGGAAAGAAGGAAGGAAGGGAGGGAGGGAGGGAGGGAGGGGAGAGAAAAAGACAGAAGGAAACAGAAAGAAAGGTGGAAAGAAAGAAAAAGAAAGAAGAAAGAAAGTAAGAAAAAGAAAGAAAGAAAGAAAAAGAAGGAAAGAAGGAAGGGAAGAAAAAGAAAGAAAGAAGAAAGAAAGAAAGAAAGAAAGAAAGAAAGAAAGAAAGAAAGAAAGAAAGAAAGAAAGAAAGAAAGAAAGAAAAAGAGCGAGCCTTCTTGTCTTTAAGAGCAGCGCATATATACTGTTATATTGGGTGCACACCTAAAATACATTTCCCCCACAAAACCTGGAAGCTCTATTTCATGTTGAAATATCTGCTAAGTTCACGGATGGCTCCCATCCTAAGAGGGATCACACAGTGATTCTTCCGATGTTTTAGGGCACAAAGTAGCAAGAACCTCCCCTGCCTCCAGAAAGTCCTCCAGGCCTTTCTCTCCCATTCTATATGAAAACCAAACAGCTCTGAGATGCCACTGGCCTCCAAAACTGGAGTACTTTGAAGGGTGTTCTCTATCTTGAAATGTTTCTGTAAATGTTCTTTCTCCACATTTCTGACCTCACTGTCAATGCCCTGCTATGTGTGCAATTGAGTTAAACTGAAATGTGTTCAGTGGGGCTTCTACTTTGCCTGCCCTCACTTTGTGAGCCTGAGGCTGAGGTTGAGCTCAGCACCAAGGGTGATCGTGAGTGTCTCTGGTGACTGAGCATCCACGAGGCACAGCAGGGGCTGGTATCATTCATCCAAGATCTCAGCTCTCCCTCACAAATAATCTAAAGCATGTTGGTGACCCTGAGATTTGGCTAGCAAGAGGAATCTGCCCATGTTCAGACAACAAATGATTGGCAGACCCCTCAGGTGAGAGGCTCAGAGGATCCCCTAAGCAGTTCAACAACCTAAATGTTGGAAAAAACTGGCTGACAGACTTTCCATTCTTTCCCAATTCAGAAGGTCCAGCAAGTAGTGGTTGGTCTCAGGAAGATGGAAAATCACAAACAACAGTTAAAAAAAGAAACTAAGCAAAGGAACACTGGCAAGACACTGTGCCAGTGCCCCCCCCTTTCACCAAGAAGGAAGGCCTCCCACTCCTGAGCCCACTGCGCCCAAGCTTCCACAAGGCCTACATACCCCTAGGCTGCCCAGAGTAGAGAAGAAAGGGTGCAAGACCTCAGGATGCAAGACCCTCCCTTGGCTGCCCGTATGAGGCCTAGAACTGGGATACAAATGTCCCTGAGAGAGCAACAGTATACTGGAGTAGACGAGGATGGGCTTATGGTGGAAAGACGTGCCTTTGTGTACCAACCCTTCACCTCTGCCCATCTCCTCCATTGGAAAACAATACCCCATCCTATACCGAAAAGCCTCAAGCTATAATTTATTTGCTCCAAACTGTTATCCAGACCCACAACCCCACCTGGGCTGATTGCCACCAGGTGCTCATGCACCTCTTTAACACAGATGAAAGGTGGAGAGTGCTCCAAGTGGCAACTAAGTGGCTGGAAGAACATGTTCCAGCTGATTACAAAATCCCCGAGGGTATGTGAGGATCCAACTAGCAGGAACAGACCCCCAGTGGGACCCAAATGAAAGACAGGGTATGCAAAGCCTAAACCAGTACAGGGAAGTCCTTCTGGAAGGATTACAGGCGTGAGCTGCCTCACCCGGCCTTGAATGAGTGAATTCTTGACTTCTACCCTATCCCTAACACTGTCAATTTCCTGATTCATGCAATTAATATGGATATCTGATATGAATGGATATCTGATTCAATCCATTAATCTGGGGAGAGCCAAAAACCCAATCAGGATTAACTGGGTGGAGCTTCAGAAATGCAATCAGATATCACTTTTTGATTGGAAGCTAGTGATCCGCCTGCCTTAGTCTCCCAAAGTGCTAGGATTGCAGGCATGAGCCACTGCACCTGGCCGGTATTTTCTGTTTTGTACAAGATGTTCCAGAAAGAAAGGCAAATATGGAAAGTTGTCTAATTCATTTCATAAGAGAGCAGTAACCCATATTTTAAAAATGGCTAAGGATATTAGAAGGAAAGTAAATTTAAACTTATTTGGCAAAAGTTTTTTTTCTTTTTTCTTTCTTTTTTTTTTTTTTTGAGACAGAGACTCACTCTGTCATGCAGGCTGGAGTGCAGTGGCACAATCTCACCTCACTGCAACCTCTTACTCCCAGATTCGAGCAATTCTCCTGCCTCAGCCTCTCTAGTAGCTGGGATTAGAGCCACATGCCACCACATCCAGCTAATTTATGTAGTTTTAGAAGAGGCAGAATTTCTCTGTGTTGGCTAGAACTCCTGACCTCAGGTGATCCACTTGCCTCGGCCTCCCAAAGTGCTGGGATTACAGGCATGAGCCACCACGGTCAGCCAGAAAAAAGTACTTAATAAATTATCAGTTAACTAAATGCAACACTGCATTAGAAAGTGATAGACAGGCCAGGCTCCGTGGCTCATGCCTGCAATCCCAGCACTTTGAGAGGCCGAGGCAGGTGGATCACCTCAGGTCTGGAGTTCGAGACCAGCCTGACCAACATGGAGAAACCCCATCCCTACTAAAAATACAAAATTAGCCAGGTGTGGTGGCGCATGCCTGTAATCCCAGCAACTCAGGAGGCTGAGGCTGGAGATTTGCTTGAACCAAGAAGGTGGAAGTTGCAGTGAGTCGAGATCATGCCATTGCACTTCAGCTTGTGCAAAAAGAGTGAAACTCCACCTTAAAAAGAAAAAAAAAAGAAAAAAAGAAAGCAATATAGTGATATATAATGGCCATTCCAGGAATGCCAGCCAATCACAGGAAAATCTAAGTGTAATTCAGCATACTGACAAACTAAAGGGGGAAAAGCAAGGTTCCTACAAAATGCAGAAAAGAATTGCAGAAAAATCAAATTAAATTTATCATAACATATTTCGGAAACTGAAATGTTGTATGTTGAAAACTTGCATTAAACATCAGATGTAATGGATAAACATTAGCTCCCTTCCTACTGAGATATGAAACAAGGTAAGAACCTCAGCACCTTAGGATTTGGACGCACGTAGGTATTTTGGTTAATAGTAAAGACTCCAGATCCAGCAGACCCAGACTGCTTAATTTAGGTTCAAAACTGGCTCAGTACCATCCTGGCTAACACGGTGAATCCCCGTCTCTACTAAAAACACAAAAATTAGCCGGGCATGGTGGCAGGTGCCTGTAGCCCCAGCTACTCGGGAGGCTGAGGCAGCAGAATGGAGTGAACCCGGGAGGCAGAGCTTGCAGTGAGCTGAGATCGCGCCACTGCACTCCAGCCTGAGCGACAGCATGAGACGCTGTCTCAGAAAAAAGAAAAAAAACTGGCTCAGTGGCCAATGGCTGTGTGGTCTTACTCAACTTACTTAACCTCTCTGTGCCTTAGCTCATTCACATATAAAATGGGATAATAGCAATATTGACTTCACAGAGTGCTATAAATTAATCTATTTAAGTACTTCGAGCTGGATTTGACATAGGGCAAGCAAGGATATTTTTATTGTTATTATATTTGAAAAATATATTAGTTACAAACTTAGGTAAGAGACCAAGGCCTATGGTAAAGGTGATTATAAGCCTTCATACACCACTGTTGTTCTGAAAATCTTAATTATAACAAGGCCAGGCACGGTGGCTCACGTCTGTAATCCCAGCACTTTGGGAGGCCAAGGTGGGCGGATCACCTGAGGTCAGGAGTTCGAGACCAGCCTCACCAACATGGCGAAACTATCTCTCTACTAAAAATACAAAAAATAGCTGGGCATGGTGGTGGACACCTGTAATCCCAGGTATTCGGTAGGTTGAGGCAGGAGAATCACTTGAATCCAGGAGGCAGAGTTTGCAGTGAGCCAAGATTGAACTATTGCTCTCCAGCCTGGCGAGAGAGTGAGACTCCATCTCCAAAAAAAAAAAAAATTATAAGAACATGTCCATTCACTCTCCAAAGTATCTAGGACTGGACAATTACTTGTCAGGCCCTCTTCTGTAGCACCATACACTATAGCATATATGTGGATTAATATAAATACACATACAAAATTCAAGTATATATTCTATATACTTTCTATATATTTATATTCTAAGAGGTCACATGCAAATTCAAGGCTAGGTCAAAGAGTAGAGTGGCTATCTATGGAAAGGGGAGTGGAAGTGAATCATGGTAATAAAAAAAGGTGTAGATATAGTTATGGATAGGTAGACATACACACATATAGCGGCAAGAAAAGGGAATGTCATGGACCAGTGATGACAGTGAGCCATGTAAAAAGGCTACAATTTTTGTGATTGTGTGTCCATTTTCAGGATTGGTTGTAGCTTACCTTTTTAGAAAGGCTGATGCCATAGTCATAGTGAATAAATGATTATAAAATGTGTTTCCTTTCTGGCGAACCTCTGGAGAAATTTCCAATGGTAGGAGAACTCAGTTTACTGGGCAGGCGATCACACAGATAAGATTTTACAGATCTAATGGCACTACCATTAACTTCATTATCATTGGTATTCTACAAAGGTTGAGTGAATAAATGGTATCTTAAAATTAAATTAGCTAAATTAACAAAAAAGATTGGATTACTTTTTCTTTTTTTTGACACAGAGTCTCTGATGCCCAAGCGGGAGTACAGTGGTGCTATGTCAGCTCACTGCAACATCTGCCTCCCGGGTTCAAGAGATTCTCCTGCCTCAGACTCCTGAGTAGCCAGGATTACAGGCACACACCACCACACCCAGCTGATTTTTGTATTTTTAGCAGAAACGGGGTTTCACCATGTTGACCAGGTTGGTCTTGAACCCCTGACCTTGTGATCTCCCTGCCTCAGCCTCCTGAAGTGCTGGAATTATAGGCTTGAGCCACCTTGCCCAGCCTAATCTTTTTTTCTTTTCTCAAAGGACTTCTATGCACTTAGGAGAGTGAGCCCATCGTTCAGTAACAACATGATTCAATACTGCAAGACCTTGATGCAGTATTTCAAAGTCTTTCCAGTAGGTGAGGGAGGCTTTCAGTGATGCTTAGACCTTCATGCCCTAGAATTTGGAGATTGCATCCTTTAGAAATGATACCAAGGGAAATCTGCCCATGAGCAGCACTGGATGGGACTGTACCAGATGACTTAAAACTAAGGATAACCAAGGAAAAGCCTTCCTTAGAAGCAGACATCATCACATGGTAGACAGTTTTCCAAGACAATGGAACAAGACTCCATTTGATCTTCTTCCATTGACTGAGACTTGGTTTTGTTTTGTATTAAAACAAAATGCTCAAACCTATATTTTATGTTGTTAGGTACTTTCTCCACTCAAACCAAACACTTTCTAAGGTCTTCTGTTCAAAATGTAGCCACTCTCACTAACCAAAGCAATTGCTGGCTATGGAGTCATTTACATGAAAGGGAAGGATCACAACTAAATAGTAGAACATGCTCTCATAAACAGTTGGGTAGCAATTGAGGATGCCAACTTCATGATAAGGTTTGTTATCCTTCCTTTGGAAGGTTGGTTAA
Source organism: Homo sapiens (assembly GCF_000001405.40). Lineage (NCBI taxonomy): Eukaryota > Metazoa > Chordata > Mammalia > Primates > Hominidae > Homo > Homo sapiens. Next base: position 115,537 of record NW_015495298.1, on the reverse strand, counting down.
CATTTATAATTACATGACTTGGCACTGAGAAGAAGCTATAGGTGCAAATGGGTGGCCTATGACTATTATTGATTACATTACTGGCATTTTATCTCTATGCATAAAAAACATTAGTGAAACTGGATCTAATCTAGGTAGTGTCGCAGATTCCCACTAGAATCAAACTCTTTGGTTTGACACACCTTATGAAGACTGGAGTGCTATAGGTATCGACATAGACATAGAATCAGAACATGACCATGTTACCCTCTGCCATTTAATCAGAGAACTTACTGAAACTAGACATTGGTTCATTGGAAACTCTAGAGGCAAATAGAATGTGTCTATAGCTCTACTATGTGAAATACATAATAGTTTTATTTATTGGATGCATCAATACTCAGGACATATTTGGAGAGGAACCTATTCATTCTTCAATGCAGATGGCATGCAAGGATTACTTTATAAAACTCATAGAAATACTTTTTCTTCCCACCCCAATTCAAACCATTACCATGCAACCTGGTATCAATAGAAGTTAAGGCCATTGAGGTAGAAATAATTAAATAAAGCTTTATTGGAAGCTAAATGTGAGAATCGACCTGGAAGACACACACTGACAAAGTGAGTGTTTTCCAAAGTCTGTTACAAGTTGGAATGCTTTTGTAAGAGAGGTTAAAAGAAGGGAATGGGACTCCTCCTATCAATTTTTTTTAATTTTCTTTTGTTTTATTGACCTGGCAAGGCTCAAATAGAGTTGAGTTTTTGTTTTTGTTTTTCCCATTGGAAGGTACAAGACAGAGGTTACAATCGTTAGCTTTAGATGACAACATAACAGGCTAAAACATTTTCCTTGCAAGACAACCAGCATGACTTCATGATCAGAATAAAATCAGTGTCCTTCTCACTGTCAGCGGGTGAAGACTTCATCAGTACTTGTAGAGTTTGAGGTACTCATGAACTCATGATCAGATTCTTTACTCAGGGACAGGATGTAAGCCAATGCTAAGACCTTCTATAGGTGGCTAATTTTTAAGCTTGCCCCAATGAGACCTTCAGGTTTTCACTGGCAATATGCAGGTGCAGATATGACAAAGAATAACAATGACCTTCATATCACCTCCAGCTGTTGAGGAATGGGATCCTTTTCACCCTTCCTGTCCATAAAACCAAGTTACTCATCTTCAGTGGCAACAAAATATATGGTAAACTTAACAGAGAAGGAGACTGTCAGAAAAAAAAAAAAAAAAGATGTGTTTATCCTGAAATGAGGAAAGCAATGGGAATAGATGTGAGATTATTTTGGGAGAAAAAGGAAGACAAAGGTTTTGAAAGGAAAAATAAGGAGGATTATACAAATTGTTTTGAAAGACTCAACCTTGGTCCTAAGAATCAAAAGTAAAGGGGCATCAGTGAAATGTTGGATAGATTCCACCTCCACCCCCTCAGTAACCCCCAACATGTTTACCAAGTCTTGGTTAACTCCCAGGATCCCATTAAAACACCCAGCTCAACCATGCCCATCCTCTACCCTCACTTCTCTTTGTAATTTTGACATGATTTTATTACAGGACCATCAGGTTCCTATGCCTGCTGCACAGTAGCTGACCAATATTCTGAGACAGCAGTGTTTGCAGCAGACAGTTTAATGATCACAGGGTGGCTAAATGAGAAGCTAGGAGGATATCCTCAAATTCATCTCCCCAAGTAGTACTGAGGGTTTCCAGTGGATCCTGGATAGCAAGGGGCTGGAAAGTTGGTGTAGAGGTAAGAGGGATGAAGTCATCAGGATGTCAAAACTGCATTCTTTGGTGAGTTGGTGCCTTGCAGAGCCCTTCAGATCAGCTGGCATCAGTAGTTTCACTGACATGCAGAACCTGAAAGAATATCTCAAATGAGAAAGTTAATGTTTTACAAGGCTTAAATTGTTGTCTGCAGGGTAGTTAAGGGGAACTGTAAGCTAAGGTCTACTTGATTTGGGGACAGTAAGCTGCCAGCAACCATGAGGAAGAAGGTCAGAGAGCAAGCTGACCTCATGGTGAATGCTGAATGCGCTGCAAGCTTGGTTTATTTTTGTTTCTCCCCCTCCCTTCTTCACTGATTAAACTTATAAAGTTTACAGGTATCATTTCAATTTCTTCCAGAGAAGACTTAACCTAAGCCCTGAGACCACTCAAGCCCTCAGTGGCACCTCTCTTCCACCAGCACGAGTGAAGAAACTGCTACCTTAGGTGATATAAAACCCACAAGACCATTCCATACATGGAGATCTTTATTCTTATTTTGTAGGGACGACTCCTCTGTGTTTATACAGCTATTTTAACTAGAAATATTTTTATAAATTTTATAATTTTGATGTGGCCAAAGATCTCCCCACAACACTACTTTCAGGTTTTATTTTTCTGTCTAATGTCTGGAACAGATCAACCCCTTCCCTGCCTCACATCAGGACTTGAAGGCGAAATAGCAGTAAAATTCCATCAGTGTTTGTGGATTTCATGAATGAATGCATTTTTTTTGACAAAATCTCCCTCTGTCGCCCAGTCAGGAGGGCAATGGTGTAATCTTGGCTCACTGCAAACTCAGCCTCCAGGGTTCAAGGGATTCTCCCACCTCAGCCGCATGAGTAACTGGACTACAGGCAGCCACCATCGTGCCTGGCTAACTTTTCTATTTTTGTAGAGACAGGGTTTCACCATGTGGGCCAGGCTGGTCTTGAACTCCTGACCTCAGGTGATCCACCTACCTTGGCCTCCCAAAGTGCTGGGATTACAAGTGTGAGCCACCTCACCTGGCCTTGAGTGAATGAATTCTTGATTTCCACTCTATCCCTAACTCTGTCAATTTCTTAATTCATAAAATGATTATGCATATGTGATATGAATGGATATCTCGTTCAATCCATTAGTCTTCGGACAGTCAAAAACCCAATCAGGATTAACTGAGTGGAGCTTCAGAAATGCAATCAGATATCGCTTTTTGATTGGAAGCTAGCAGCGGATACGTGGAGGGGCGTGGGTGGGAGTTGTGATTAGAAAGGTCAATAAAAGCTTCTAAAGACCCACAGGACAAACTCAAAGTCTTCAAGCCTGGAGTTCCTGCTTGGCTCTTCCTGAGGTCTGAGCACCTTCTAAACTACAACCAGATCTGGTAAGTCACTAATTTCTGTAAGGACACTCCCATGTGACCTACAGTCAGCCGGTCTAGAACGGTGACAGTGCAGCCTACGATGGCATAGAACTATATCATGTCTTTTTTTCTTTTTTTCATATGAACACTTTGAAGCTTTGATTTTTTTTTCTAAATGCAATTTTGTCGTGATTTCAAAAATGTTGTTGTGCTTTTCTTTACATCATTTCAGAATTCTTGTTGGCAGCCATTTTGTGAAGAGACGAAGACTGAGCTGTTTTGGCTGCATTTCTGGCCTCGAGCCGCAGTCAGTTTCTCCCCGTAGAACCCGGCAGTAGGAGACTTAGAATCGAATCTCTTCTCCCTCCCGCCTCCTGTTTTTGGCTTTTTGAGAAACCTTATCATCCAACACAATGGCCAGCAACGTTACCAACAAGATGGATCCTCACTCCGTGAACTCCCGTGTGTTCATTGGGAATCTCAACACTCTTGTTGTCAAGAAATCTGATGTGGAGGCGATCTTTTCCAAGTATGGCAAAATTGCGGGCTGCTCTGTTCATAAGGGCTTTGCCTTCGTTCAATATGATAAGGAGAAAAATGCCCGGGCTGCTGTAGCAGGAGAGGATGGCAGAATGATTGCTAGCCAGGTTGCAGTTATTAACCTGGCTGCAGAGCCAAAAGTGAACCGAGGAAACGCAGGTGTGAAACGATCCGCAGCGGAGATGTACGGCTCCTCTTTTGACTTGGACTATGGCTTTCAACGGGATTATTATGATGGGATGTACAGTTTCCCAGCACGTGTACCTCCTCCTCCTCCCATTGCTCTGGCTGTAGTGCCCTCGAAACGCCAGCGCATATCAGGAAACACCTCACGAAGGGGCAAAAGTGGCTTCAATTCTAAGAGTGGAAAGCGGGGATCTTCCAAGTCTGGAAAGCTGAAAGGAGATGACCTTCAGGCCATTAAGCAGGAGTTGACCCAGATAAAACAGAAAGTGGATTCTCTCCTGGAAAACCTGGAAAAAATTGAAAAGGAACAGAGCAAACAAGAGGTAGAGGTGAAAAATGCTAAGTCAGAAGAGGAGCAGAGCAGTAGCTCCATGAAGAAAGATGAGACTCATGTAAAGATGGAGTCTGAGGGGGGTGCAGAAGACTCTGCTGAGGAGGGGGACCCACTGGATGATGATGATAATGAAGATCAGGGGGACAACCAGCTTCATTTGATCAAGAATAATGAAAAAGATGCTGAGGAAGGAGAGGATAACAGAGACAGCACCAATGGCCAGGATGACTCTTAAGCACATAGTGGGGTTGAGAAATCTTATCCCATTGTTTCTTTACCTAGGAGCTTGTCTAACAACAAATTTTTCACCAGATCCTCTCCCTTAGTATCTTCAGCACATGCTTACTGTTCTCCCCATCCTTGTCCTTCCCACATTCATTAATTCATATTGCCCTGCGCCTAGTCCCATTTTCACTTCCCATGACACCCCTAGTAGTTTTCCTAAGTCTTACCCTGTAATTTTTGCTTTTAATTTTGACACCTCTTTATGACTTAACAGTAAAAAGGATGTATGGTTTTTATCAACTGTCTCCAAAATAATCTCTTGTTATGCAGGGAATACAGTTCTTTTCTTTCATACATAAGTTCAGTAGTTGCTTCCCTAACTGCAAAGGCAATCTCATTGAGTTGAGTAGCTCCTGAAAGCAGCTTGGAGTTACAAGTATGTGTGTTACACCCCATATTAGTGTGCTGTGTGGGGCAGTTCAACAAAAATCTAACAATGTATTTTTGTGAATGAGAGTTGGCATGTCAAATGCATCCTCAGAAACATAATTGGTGTTATAGTCTTCAAATGTGTTTTCTAAAGTTGATACCGTGGGTTATTTTTGTGAACAGCTTGATGTTTGGGACCTTTTCCCTGAAAATAAACAACTCTTTATTAAACCAGCAATTTAAAGAAAAAAAATTCTTGGTGGGAGCAATGACTCATGCCTGTAACTACAACACTTTGGGAGGCCAAGGTGGGAGGATCGTTTGAGCGCAGGGGTTCGAGACCAACCTGAGCAACATGGCAAAACCCTATCTCTACAAAACATTTGTTTTGAGGGGCGGGATGGAGTCTCACTCCGTTACCCAGGCTGGAATGGAGTGGCACAATCTCAGCTCACTCCAACCTCTGCCTCCCAGGCTCAAGCGATTCTCATGCCTCAGCCTCCTGAGTAGCTGGGATTATAGCCACCCACCCCCATGAGCAGCTCATTTTTATATTTTGGATAGAGACGGCGGTTCACCATGTTGGCCAGGCTGGTCTCAAACTCCTAACCTCAAGTGATCCACCTGCTTTGGCCTCCCAAAGGGCTGGGATTACACCAGTGAGCCACCAATGCCCTGCCTCTTTTTTAAAAAATTAGATGGGCATGGTTGAAGGGGAGCAGCCTCTCCATACCTGTGGGTATATCGCATCAGGTGGGATGACAGACTGTGAAAAGAAATAAGACACAGAGACAAAGTATGGAGAAAGAACAGGGGGCCCAGGGGACCGGCGCTCAGCATAAAACGTGAGCAAAGGAATCTGTGTCACAAATGAGTTCAAGGGAAGGTACTCTGCCTGGATGTGCATGTAGGCCAGATGTATGCTTCTCTCCACCCAAACATCTCAGTGGAGAAAAGAATAACAGAGCAGCATTGCTGCCAACATGTCTCACCTCCCAACACAGGACAGTTTGTCTCCTATCTCAGAATAGAACAAATCTACAATTGGGTTTTATACCGAGACATTCCATTCCCAGGGACAGGCAGGAGACAGAGGCCTTCCTCTTATCTCAACTGCAAGAGGCCTTCCTCTTTTACTAATACTCCTCAGCACAGACCCTTCACGGGAGTTGGGCTGGGGGATGGTCAGGTCTCTCCCATCCCACAAGGCCATATCTCAGGCTATCACATGGGGAGAAACCTTAGACAATACCCGGCTTTCCAGGGCAGAGGTCCCTGTGGCTTTCCACAGTGCATTGTGCCCCTGGTTTATCGAGAATGGAGAATGGCGATGATTTTACCAAGCATATTGCCTGTATACATATTGTTAACAAGGCACATCCTGCACTGCCCTAGATCCCTTAAACCTTGATTCCATACAACACATGTTTTTGTGAGCTCAAGGTTGGGGCAAAGTTACAGATTAATAGCATCTCAGGGCAAAGCAATTCTTCAGGGCACAGGTCAAAATGGAGTTTCTTATGTCTTCCTTTTCTACATAGACACAGTAACAGTCTGATCTCTCTTTCTTTTCCCTACACATGGTGGCATGCATCTGTAGTCCCAGCTACTTGGGTGGCTGAGGTGGGAGAATCCCTTGAATCCAGAAGATTGATGCTGCAGTGAGCCATGCTCACACCAGTGCTGTACTCCAGCCTGGGCAGCAGAGTCAGACTGTTGAAAAAAAAAAATCTTAATCAAACAGTTAAAAAAGTGCAATTAATTGTAATCAGTAGGCAGATCCCAAATTCCCCAAAAAAGGAGAGAAAGAGAGTTTAGAAGGCTCTACATGCTAGCATCCCATTCAGACTGTTTAATCCTACCATTGTGGTTTTGTAAGAAAAACAGTCTTAAAGATTTCCAATAATTCTCACTATGGCCATAAATTATCCTGGGTGTCATTTTCCCATCAACTTAAAAAGGCACGTGAGAGGCCGGGCACGGTGGCTCACACCTGTAATTCCAGCACTTTGGGAAGCCAAGGCAGGTGGAACGCCTGAGATCAGGAGTTTGAGACCAGCATGGCCAACATGGAGAAACTCCATTTCTACTAAAAATACAAAAAATAGCCGGGCGTGGTGGTAGGCATCTGTAATCTCAGGTACTTGGGAGGCTGAGGCAGGAGAAACAGTTGAACCCGAGAGGTGGAGGTTGCATTGAGCCAAGATAGCACCTTTGCACACCAGCCTGGCCACAGAGCAAGACTCCATCTCCAAAAAATACTACTAATAATTATAACAGCATGTCCATTCACTCTCCAAAGTGTCTGGGACTGGACAATTAATTGTGAGGCCCTCTTCTCTAGCACCCTACGCTATAGCATATATGTGGATTAAAATAAATACACATAAAAATGCAAGTATATATGCTATATACTTTCCATATACTTATATTATATAAGGTCACATGCAAATTCAAGGCTAGGTCAAAGAGTAGAGTGGCAATATATGGAAAGGTGAGTGGAAGTGAATAATGGTAATAAAAGGAAACAGATAGATATAGATATAGATATGAATAGGTAGACATACACATATATAGCTGCAAGAAAGGGGGTTGTCATGGACCAATGATGACAGTGAGCCGTGTAAAAAGGCTAAAATTCTTGTGATTGTGTTTCCATTTTCAGGATGAGTTGTAGCTTACCTTTTTAGAAAGGCTTATGATGCAGTCATAGCAAATAAGTGATTATAAAATGTGTTTCCTTTCTGGGCAATTCTGGAGAAATCTCTAATGGTATGAGAATTCAGTTTACTGGGCAGGTTATCACACATAAAATTTTACAGACCCAATGACACTAGCATTAACTTCATTATCCTTGGTATTCTATAAAGGTTGAGTGAACAAATGGTATATTTAAACTAAAATTAGCTAAACTGACAAAGAAAACTGGATTATTATTATTTATTTTTGAGACAGAGTCTCTGTTGCCCAGGCTGGAGTACAGTGGTGCTACCTTGGCTCACTGCAACCTCTGCCTCCCAGGTTCAAGGAGTTTTCCTGCCTCAGCCACCTAAGTAGCTGGGATTACAGGCACACACAACCACACCCAGCTAATTTTTGTATTTTTGGCAGAAGCGGGGTTTCACCATTTTGGCCAGGTTGGTCTTGAACCCCTGACATCGGGATCTGCCTGCCTCGGTCTCCTAAAGTGCTGGGATTATAGGCGTCAGCCACCACACCTGGCCGAATCTTTTTTTCTTTTCTCAAAGATGTTGTCATAGTATTGGGTTCTATGCACTCAGGAGAGTGAGCCCATCATTCAGTAACAATATGAATCAATACTGCAAGACCTTGATGCAGAATTTCAAAGACTATTTCCAGTAGGTGAAGGCTTTCAGTGATGCTTAGATCTTCCTGCCCTAGCATTTGGAGATTGCATCCTTTGGAAATGACACCAAGGGAAATCTGCGCATGAGCAGCAATGGATGGGACTGTACCAGATGACTGAAACGTAAAGATATCCGAGGAAAAGCCTTCCCTAGAAGCAGACATCATCACATGGTAGACAGCTTTTCCAAGACAATGGAACAAGACTCCATTTGATCTTCTTCCATTGACTGAGACTTGGTTTTGTTTTGTATTAACACAAAATTCTCAAACCTGTATTTTATATTGTTAGGTACTTTCATCACTCAAACCAAACACTTTCTAAGGTCTCCTGTTCAAAATGTAGCCACTCTCACTAACCAAAGCAATTGCTGGCTATGGGGTCATTTAGATGAAAGGGAAGGATCACAGATAATAGTAGAACCTGCTCTCATACACAGTTGGGTAGCAATTGAGGATGCTAACTTCATGATAAGGTTTGTTATCCTTCCTTTGGAAGGTTGGTTAATATTGATAATTAAATGACTTGGTACTGAGAAGAAGCTATAGGTGCAAATGGGTGGCCTATGACTATTATTGATTTCATTACTGGTAATTTATCTCTATGCCTAGAAAACATTAGTGTAACTGGGTCTAACCTAGATAGTGTTCCAGACTCCCACTAGAATCAAACTCTTTGGTTTGACATGCATTATGTAGATGGGAATGCTATAGATATCGACATAGACATAGAGTCAGAACATGACCATGTTACCCTCTGCCATATAATCAGAGAACTTACTGAAACTAGGCATTGGTTCTTTGGAAACTCTAGAGGCAAATAGAATGCATCTATAGCTCTACTGTATGAAATAATAGTTTTATTTATTGGATGCATCAATACTCAGGATATATTTGGAGAGGAAACTATTCTTTCTTCAATGGAGATGGCATGCAAGGATTACTTTATAAAACACACAGAAATATTTTTTCCTCCCACCCCAATTCCAACCATTACCGTGCAACCTGTTGTCAATAGACGTTAAGGCAGTTGAGGCAGAAATAATTAAATAAAGCTTCATTGGAAGCTAAATGTCAGGATCGACCTGGAAGACACACACTGACAAAATGAGCGTTTTCCAAAGTCTGTTACAAGTTGGAATGCTTTTATAAGAAAGGTTGAAAGAAGGGAATGGGACTCCTCCTATCAGTTGTTTTTTTTTTTTAATTTTCTTTTGTTTTATCCTGGCAAGGCTCTAATAGAGTTGAGCTTTTTTGTTTTTGTTTTTTCCATTGGAAGGGACAATACAGAGGTTACAATCATTGACTTTAGATGACAACATGACAGGCAAAAATATTTTCCTTGCAAGACAACCAGCAAAACTTCACGATCAGAATCAAATCAGTGTCCTTCTCACTGTCACTGGGTGAAGCCTTCATCAGTACTTGAAGAGTCTCAGGCACTCATGAAGTCAAGATCAGATTCTTTACTCAGGGACAGGATGTAAGCCAATCATAAGACCTTCCACAGATGATCAATTTGGAAGTCTACCTAATGTGACCTGCAGGTTTTCACTGGCAATATGCAGGTGCAGATATGACAAAGAATAATCCTGACCTTCATATCGCCCCTAGCTGATGAGGATTGGGATTCTTTTGTCCCTTTCTCTCCATAAAACCAGGTTACTCATCTTGTGTGGCAACAAAATATATGGTCTACTTAACAGAGAAAGAGACTCCACAGGAAAAAAAAAAGGATTTTTATTATGAAATGAGCAAAGCCATGGGAATAGATGTGAGATTATTCGGGGAGGTAAAGGAAGACAAAGGTTTTGAAAGGAAAAATGAGGAGAATTACATAAATTTTTTTGAAAGACTCATTCTTGGTCACAAGTATGAAAACCAAGGGAGCCTCAGTGCAGTGTTGGAAAGATTCCTCCTCCACCCTCTCAATAACCCCCAACACATTTACCAAGTCTTTGTTCACTCCCAGGATTCCATTAAAACACCCAGCTCAACCCTGACCAGCCTCCACCTTCACTTCCCTTTGTAATTTTGACATAAATTTGTTACAGGACCATCAGGTTCCTATGCCGGCTGCACAGTAGCTTACCAATATTCTGAGACAGCAGGATTTGCAGCAGAAAGTTTAATGATCACAGGGTGGCTGAATGAGAAGCTGGGAGGAGATCCTCAAATTCATCTCCCCAAGGAGTACTGAGGGTTTCCAGTGGATCCTGGATAGCAAGGGGCTGGAAAGTTGGTGTAGTTTGATGGCAATAAGAGGTATGAAGTTATCACGATGTCAGAACGGCATTCTTTGGTGAGTTGATGCCTTGCAGGGCCCTTCAGATCAGCTGGCATCAGTAGTTTCACTGACATGCAGAACCTGAAAGAATATCTCAAATGAAAAACTTAATGTTTCACAATGCTTAAATTGTTGTCTGCAGCGTAGTTAAGGGGAATTGTAGTCTAAGTTCTACACGATTTTGGGACAGTAGGCTGCCAGCAACCATGAGGAAGCAGGTCAGAGGGCAAGCTGACCTCCTGGTGAATGCTGAATGCGTTTCAAGCTTGGTTTGTTTTTGTTCCTCCCCCTCTCTTTTTCACCGATTAAATTTATAAAGTTTAGAAATACGGTTTCAATTTCTTCCAGACAAGCCTTAACCTAAGCCCTGAGACCACTCAAGCCCTCAGTGGCACCTCTCTTCCACCAGCATGAGCAAATAAATTGCTACCTTAGGTGATATAAAACCCACAAGACGATTCGATACATGGAGTTTTTTTTCTGATTTTGTAGGGATGACTTCTTTGTTTCTATAAAGCTGTTTTAACTATAAAACAATTTTATAATTTTGATGTGGCCAAAGATCTCCCAACACTACTTTCAGGTTTTATTTTTCTGTCTACTATCCAGAACAGATCAAACCCTTCCCTGCCTCAAACTCAGGACTATATAGGTCATATATCAGTAAAATTCCATCAGTGTTTGCGGAGTTCATGAATGAATGAATTCTTTTTTTTTTTTTTTTTTTTTTTTTTTGTGACAAAGTCTACCTCTGTCACCCAGAACGGTGTGCAATGGTGCAATCTTGGCTCACTGCAACCATTGCCCCCTGGATTCAAGCGATTCTCCCACCTCAGCCTCCTGAGTAGCTGGATTACAGGCACCTGCCATCATGCCAGGCTAATTTTTGTGTTTTTGTAGAAATGGGGTTTCATCATGTTGGCCTTGCAGGTCTTGATCGCCTGACCTCAGGTGATCCAGCCAACTTGGACTCTCAAAGTGCAGGGATTACAGGTGTGAGCCACCTCACCTGGCCTTTAATGAGTGAATTCTTGATTTCCACCCTATTCCTAACACTGTCAATTTCTTGATTCATGAACTTAATATGGATAGCTGATATGAATGGATATCTGATTCAATCCAGTAATCTGGGGACAGCCAAAAACCCAATCAAGATTAACTGGGTGGAGCTTCAGAAATGCAATCAGATAGCACTTTTTGATTGGAAGCAAGCACTGGATAGATGGAGGGGTGTGGGTGGGAGTTGTGATTAGAAAGATCGATAAAAGTTTCTGAAGGCCCACAGGAGAGACCCAAAGTCTTCAAGTCTGGAGTTCCTGCTTGGTTCTTCCTGAGGTCTAAGCACTCTGCAAACTCAGTCCAGATCTAGTAAGTCACTCATTTCTGGAAGGACACTCCCATCTGACCTATAGTCAGCCGGTCTGGGACGGGGGCAATGCAGCCTATGATGGCACCGAGCTATATCTGTCTTTTATATATATATATATGAACAATTTGAAGATTTGAATTTTTTCCTCTATATGCAGTTTTGTCTTTATTTCAAAAAATTGGATTGTGCTTTGGTTTATGTCATTTCAAAATTCTTGATGGGAGCAATGACTCATGCCCATAACCTCAACACCTTGGGAGGCCAAAGCGGGAGGATCATTTGAGCCCAGGGGTTTGAGACCAACCTGGGCAACATGGCAAAAATGCAGCTCTACAAAACATTCTTTTTTTGAAGCAGGGATGGAGTCTCACCCTGTTGCCAAGGCTGGAGTGCAGTGGCAAGAGCTCAACTCACTGCAACCTCTTCCTCCCAGGCTCAAACAATTTTCATGTCTCAGCTTCCTGAGTAGCTGGTATTACATCCCTCTGCCACCATGTCTGCTTAATTTTTGTATTTTTAGTAGTGGTGGGGTTTCACCATGCTGGCCAGGTTGGTCTCAAACTCCTGACATCAAGTGATCCTCCTGCCTAGGCCCCCAAAAGTGCTGGAATGACGGCCGTGAGCCAATGGTGGTCAGCCTCTACAAAATATATATATCTTTTAATTTGCCAGGCATGGTAGCATGCATCTGTATTCCCAGCTATTTGGTTTGCTGACATGGGAGAATCACTTGAGCCCAGAAGATTGAGGCTGCAGTGAGCCATGCTCACACCACTGCTGTACTCCAGCCTGGGCAACAGAGTAAGACCCTGCTAAAAACAAAAACGAAAACAAACAAACAAAAAACCTTAACCAAAGAGAATCTTTGACCTTAATTTTAAACCAATCACATCCTCACTGTAATTCTTCCTCCCGAATGGAGACATGGGTGTGAGGGTGCATGCCTGTAATCCCAGCTACATGGAAGGCTGAAGCATGAGAATTGCTTGAATCTCAGAGGCGGAAGTTACAGTGAGCTGAGATGGAGCCGCTGCACTCCAGCCTGGGCGACAAAGTGAGACTCAGCTTCACCCACACCAAAAAAAATTAGATTATACCACCCAGGTGATCACTGGATACATGAAGATTTCTATTGTGTGTTATTGGGGACTGTCAACTCCGTCTTTGAAAACTGTTTTAACTCTGAAATATTTTGATAAATTTGATGTGGCCAAGGATCCCTCAACAAAGATACTTTCAAGTTTTCTTTCTTTCTGTCTAATATCAGGAAGAGATTCAACACTTCCCTATCTCACACTCAGGACTATGAAGGACACATATTAGTAAACCTCCATGTTTGTGGAGGGAATCAGTGAATGAGTCCTGGACTTTCACCCTATCCCTAAATCTTTCACTTTCATGGATGAATATCTAATTCAATCAGTTAATCTGGAAGAAAGCCAAAAATCCAATCAGGATTAACTGGGTAGAGTTTAAGAAGTCGAATCAAATGTAGTTCTCTCTCTCTCTCTCTCTCTTTTCTTTTCTTTTTTTTTTTTTTTTTTTTGAATCTAGCCTATTTCACAGGCTGGAGTGCAGTGGTGTATTGTCAGCTCACTGCAACCTCTGCCTCCTGGGTTCAAGTGATCCTCCTGCCTCAGCCTCCCTAGTAGCTTGGACTATAGGCGCAGACCACCGCACCTGGCTAATTTTTCTAATTTTGGTAGAGGTAGGGTTTTACCATGTTGGCCAGGCTGGTCTCAAACTCCTGACCTCAGATAATCCACCTGCCTCTGCCTCCCAGAGGGCTGGGATTACAGGTGTGAGTCACTGCACACAGCCAAAGTGGTTCATTTTGAATATGTGTGAGAGGTGTGTATTGGAAACATCTGTGTCTTGCCAATGATGCATAACACTGTCACATAGCTTTCAAAGCTTCTTGCTGAAATTTTCAATAATGAGACCAGGCAGAGGCTCATGCCTGCAATCCCAGCACTTTGGGAGGCCAAAGTGGGTGGATTGTTTGAGTCTAGGAGTTCAAGACCAGCCTGGACAACATAGTGAAACCCACTGTCTTTACAAAAAGTCAAAAAATAAAAGATTAGCTGGGTACGAGATCTGAGCTTCAGAGATCCTCGGTAACATTTGCCAGTGCTATGAGTTTAGTGGATCAGTGGCTAATAATTCATGGACTACGAGGGATCTTGCCTGCTCTTTAGAAGTTGGGACACATTCTTCATGGTACCAGAAGGGTAGAACTATGTCTCTGTGGCCACTTATTGCAGAAAGGAACTGGAGTAAACTGAGGGCTCTTTCACACATGCTAGAGAAATGACTTGGGCCCTGGGAGAATTGGGGGTTGCAGGGGATTGGTCGGAGGAACTTGCCTTTTTGCTGGATTGTGCTGTAGAGTTTTTCCTTGTAGATTTGTCAGAATGAGCCTCCAGACCCCATCCAGACTCCTGGAGCTGGCAGGGCAGAGCCTGATGAGGAAGCAGTTCTTGACTATCTTCACCCTGGACTAGCTGCCCAGGGAGGTCTCCCCTCTGACGTTCATGGAGGCCTTCAGCATGAGATGTTGTGAGGCCCTGAAGCTGATGGTGCAGGCCTGGTCCTCCCTTCACCTCCCTCTGGGATCCCTGATGAAGACAACTCATCTGGAGACCTTGCAAGCTGTGCTGAAGGGACTTGATACACTAGTGTCCCAGAAGGTTTGCCCCAGTTGAGGTGACTCAGGTGGCCTGGTGGGAAGGGTCCAGGCATCCAGGGAAGGGACAGCTGGCTCAGGAGGAGTGGCAGTGTGTGGGAGCTAGGGTGGCTCAGAGGCTTCTGATGGTACCCATGAGAGGCCTTGGCCATTGCCCAGATCCTCTGGAAAAGGACTGCTCACCATACAGAGTCCACTGAGGAAACAGGAACCTGCTTCCTCCCAGTGGAAGGTAAAGGTACTAGAAGTGGGTACCATGCAGAATCCAAGGGGGAACAGGATGGAGAAAAGACAGAAGGAGGAGCACTGGGACAGGAGCAGCTGACTCATGTCCTGGATGTGGAGTGAAAGTTCAGGTCAAGGGTCGGTCCTCGCCTACATTCTGAGCTTTTCCCTTATGTTACTCACAGGAGGTGGAAACTTCAAGTGCTGGATTTGAGGGATGTTGATGAGAATTTCTGGACCATATGGTCTGGAGTCAGGGTCCTCCCCTGCTCCCCAGAGGCCATGAGTAAGAGGCAGACAGTGGAGGACTGTCCAAGGATGGGAGAGTGCCAGCCCTTGAAGGTGTTCATAGACCTCTGCCTGAAGGAAAGTACACTGGATGAATGCCTGAGCTACCTCTGAAGGTGGATCCACTACAGAAGAGGCCTAGTGCACCTGTGTTGTAGTAAGGTGCAGAATTACTCAATGCCCACTTCAAGTTTCAGAAATCTATTGGAAAGGATATACCCAGACAGTATCCAGGAGTTGGAAGTCTGGAAAAAGTGCTCTCTCAATAAAACGGGAAAGTTTGCCCCTTACCTGAGCCAGATGAGCAATCTTCGCAAACTTTTTAGCCTTCGGTTATGAGCCTGAATTATACGTGAGCGGCCAATGGCAGTTCATTCCTGACTTGGATTGGCCATTCCTGTGCCTGTACTACCCCCAGATGCATTATATAAGAAAGGTCAGTAATATCAAAGAGCACCTGGAGCACCTGCTC
The DNA here is from genome assembly GCF_000001405.40 of Homo sapiens. Lineage (NCBI taxonomy): Eukaryota > Metazoa > Chordata > Mammalia > Primates > Hominidae > Homo > Homo sapiens. The sequence goes on along the minus strand of NW_015495298.1, from coordinate 100,022 downwards.
AGGTAGGAAACGATGGTGGGCTTTCTCTGCAGACCATAACACATAGTTTTGTTCTTTTTCACAGTAAACGTTAGTGGGCATCTACTGTGTGCCATCCACTGGGGATGTCACAGGGAATGGGATGCTAGAATGTCAACTCATTAAGCTGTTCAGTTATGTTATGATAAATTTAATTTGATTTTTCTGCAATTCTTTTCTGCATTTTGTAGGAACCTTGCTTTTCCCCCTTTAGTTTGTCAGTATGCTGAATTACACTTAGATTTTCCTGTGATTGGCTGGCATTCCTGGAATGGCCATTATATATCACTATATTGCTTTCTTTTTTTCTTTTTTTTTTCTTTTTAAGGTGGAGTTTCACTCTTTTTGCACAAGCTGAAGTGCAATGGCATGATCTCGACTCACTGCAACTTCCACCTTCTTGGTTCAAGCAAATCTCCAGCCTCAGCCTCCTGAGTTGCTGGGATTACAGGCATGCGCCACCACACCTGGCTAATTTTGTATTTTTAGTAGGGATGGGGTTTCTCCATGTTGGTCAGGCTGGTCTCGAACTCCAGACCTGAGGTGATCCACCTGCCTCGGCCTCTCAAAGTGCTGGGATTGCAGGCATGAGCCACGGAGCCTGGCCTGTCTATCACTTTCTAATGCAGTGTTGCATTTAGTTAACTGATAATTTATTAAGTACTTTTTTCTGGCTGACCGTGGTGGCTCATGCCTGTAATCCCAGCACTTTGGGAGGCCGAGGCAAGTGGATCACCTGAGGTCAGGAGTTCTAGCCAACACAGAGAAATTCTGCCTCTTCTAAAACTACATAAATTAGCTGGATGTGGTGGCATGTGGCTCTAATCCCAGCTACTAGAGAGGCTGAGGCAGGAGAATTGCTCGAATCTGGGAGTAAGAGGTTGCAGTGAGGTGAGATTGTGCCACTGCACTCCAGCCTGCATGACAGAGTGAGTCTCTGTCTCAAAAAAAAAAAAAAAGAAAGAAAAAAGAAAAAAAACTTTTGCCAAATAAGTTTAAATTTACTTTCCTTCTAATATCCTTAGCCATTTTTAAAATATGGGTTACTGCTCTCTTATGAAATGAATTAGACAACTTTCCATATTTGCCTTTCTTTCTGGAACATCTTGTACAAAACAGAAAATACCGGCCAGGTGCAGTGGCTCATGCCTGCAATCCTAGCACTTTGGGAGACTAAGGCAGGCGGATCACTAGCTTCCAATCAAAAAGTGATATCTGATTGCATTTCTGAAGCTCCACCCAGTTAATCCTGATTGGGTTTTTGGCTCTCCCCAGATTAATGGATTGAATCAGATATCCATTCATATCAGATATCCATATTAATTGCATGAATCAGGAAATTGACAGTGTTAGGGATAGGGTAGAAGTCAAGAATTCACTCATTCAAGGCCGGGTGAGGCAGCTCACGCCTGTAATCCTTCCAGAAGGACTTCCCTGTACTGGTTTAGGCTTTGCATACCCTGTCTTTCATTTGGGTCCCACTGGGGGTCTGTTCCTGCTAGTTGGATCCTCACATACCCTCGGGGATTTTGTAATCAGCTGGAACATGTTCTTCCAGCCACTTAGTTGCCACTTGGAGCACTCTCCACCTTTCATCTGTGTTAAAGAGGTGCATGAGCACCTGGTGGCAATCAGCCCAGGTGGGGTTGTGGGTCTGGATAACAGTTTGGAGCAAATAAATTATAGCTTGAGGCTTTTCGGTATAGGATGGGGTATTGTTTTCCAATGGAGGAGATGGGCAGAGGTGAAGGGTTGGTACACAAAGGCACGTCTTTCCACCATAAGCCCATCCTCGTCTACTCCAGTATACTGTTGCTCTCTCAGGGACATTTGTATCCCAGTTCTAGGCCTCATACGGGCAGCCAAGGGAGGGTCTTGCATCCTGAGGTCTTGCACCCTTTCTTCTCTACTCTGGGCAGCCTAGGGGTATGTAGGCCTTGTGGAAGCTTGGGCGCAGTGGGCTCAGGAGTGGGAGGCCTTCCTTCTTGGTGAAAGGGGGGGGCACTGGCACAGTGTCTTGCCAGTGTTCCTTTGCTTAGTTTCTTTTTTTAACTGTTGTTTGTGATTTTCCATCTTCCTGAGACCAACCACTACTTGCTGGACCTTCTGAATTGGGAAAGAATGGAAAGTCTGTCAGCCAGTTTTTTCCAACATTTAGGTTGTTGAACTGCTTAGGGGATCCTCTGAGCCTCTCACCTGAGGGGTCTGCCAATCATTTGTTGTCTGAACATGGGCAGATTCCTCTTGCTAGCCAAATCTCAGGGTCACCAACATGCTTTAGATTATTTGTGAGGGAGAGCTGAGATCTTGGATGAATGATACCAGCCCCTGCTGTGCCTCGTGGATGCTCAGTCACCAGAGACACTCACGATCACCCTTGGTGCTGAGCTCAACCTCAGCCTCAGGCTCACAAAGTGAGGGCAGGCAAAGTAGAAGCCCCACTGAACACATTTCAGTTTAACTCAATTGCACACATAGCAGGGCATTGACAGTGAGGTCAGAAATGTGGAGAAAGAACATTTACAGAAACATTTCAAGATAGAGAACACCCTTCAAAGTACTCCAGTTTTGGAGGCCAGTGGCATCTCAGAGCTGTTTGGTTTTCATATAGAATGGGAGAGAAAGGCCTGGAGGACTTTCTGGAGGCAGGGGAGGTTCTTGCTACTTTGTGCCCTAAAACATCGGAAGAATCACTGTGTGATCCCTCTTAGGATGGGAGCCATCCGTGAACTTAGCAGATATTTCAACATGAAATAGAGCTTCCAGGTTTTGTGGGGGAAATGTATTTTAGGTGTGCACCCAATATAACAGTATATATGCGCTGCTCTTAAAGACAAGAAGGCTCGCTCTTTTTCTTTCTTTCTTTCTTTCTTTCTTTCTTTCTTTCTTTCTTTCTTTCTTTCTTTCTTTCTTTCTTCTTTCTTTTTCTTTCCTTCCTTCTTTCCTTCTTTTTCTTTCTTTCTTTCTTTTTCTTACTTTCTTTCTTCTTTCTTTTTCTTTCTTTCCACCTTTCTTTCTGTTTCCTTCTGTCTTTTTCTCTCCCCTCCCTCCCTCCCTCCCTCCCTTCCTTCCTTCTTTCCTTCCTTTTTTTTGAGGCAAGGTTTCATTCTGTTGAGCAGGCTGGAGTGCAGTGGCACAATGATGGCTCACTGCAGTCTCAACCTCCTGGGCTCAGGTGATCCTCGCATCTAAACTTCTTGGGCAGCTGGGACTACAGGTGCACACCACCATGCCTGGCTAATTTTTCGTATATAGTTTTTATAGACAGAATTTTCCATGTTGCCCAGGCAGGTCTCAAACTCCTGCGCTCAAGTAATCTATCTGCCTTGGCCTCCCAAAGTGCTGAAATTAGAGATATGAGCCACCACACATGGCCTGAGTTTTCTTTGTATACCTAATGGTATCACTTTAATCAGAATCTCTCTGTTCAATATCAGGGACAAGGGAGGACTTTAAGGATGGCAGAACATTAATTATCAAAATATGCTGGGGAATGGCACGAGGGTATTGATGAGGATGAGGGGCCCTGGGAAACACCTGTGGGTGAGGGTTGCTGGGAAATGTCCCACTGTGGGAAGATCCCTGAGTCTAAAAGAAAGGTTTCCAGACCATAGCACCATGACAGAGACTTGGACCCTTGTTCACTTTCTCCCACATCCTGCAAAACCCACAGCTCCCACCTTCGATGGCTTCCAGGTTGGGAAAGTCTCCCTTCCCAGGTCTGGCCACACTGCTTCTCTCTGGCATCTGCCCCAGCTCAGATTCTCAGATTCCATCTTCCCAGGCTGATTTTCTGAGGCGAGCCCATCATTTTTGGGAGTAAACACGCTTTCCCTTCTAGTAGGGGCCAAGACTGTTTCTGCCTTCTCTGCCCTCAAAGACAATGTTGTGTTTGAAGAGTCTGCACTGTCTCTTCTGTAACTATTCCCTTTTTAATTTTTAAACTCAATCCAGACAGAGTCTTTCAATCCTTCTGTGGAGATGCCCACAAAATACCCACCATGTTTTATGCTGTCTTGGTTCCTTCCCAGGGTTCTACTAGAACACCCGGTCCCATCCTGCCCAGCCCCCACCTCACTTTGTCATTCTGTCCTGATTTCCTGCAGTGAAGCCTTGACCTTAGTCTTGTGATCAATAACACCCTCAGTGGTTCCCCTCTTCAACCTGAACCCACATATGACCTGCCCCGTTAGGAAGCATAAAACCCAGGTAACTGTTGGATAACAGAGCTTTGTATTCTGTTTTCTTAGGGTTGACATCACCGTCTTTTTAAAGCTGTCTTAGCTCTGAAACGTTTGGATAATTTCAATGTGGCCAAATATTCTCCCATAAAGATATCATCAGGTTTTGTTTTTTCTTTCTAATGCCAGGAACAGATTAAACCTTCCATGTCACTATGAAGGTCACATGTTAGTCAAACTTCATCAGTGTTTGGGGAATAAATGAATTAATGACTTTTGGACTTTCACCCTGTTATTTATTCTTTCACTTTCATAAATGCACATCTAATTTAATCAATGAATCAGAAGAAAGTGTGAAACTCAATCAGGATTAACTGGGTGGAACTTCAGGATCTAATCAGGTATCACTTTCTGATTGGAAGCTGGTGATTGAGAAGGGGAGGGTGTGGTTAGAAACATCAACAAAAGCTCCTGAGTTTGCACAGGACAGACCCAAAGCCCTGGTGCCTGGAGCTACTGCTTGGTTCTCTGAGAGGTCCCAGCACCCTGCAAACTGAGTCCAGATCTGGTAAGTCACCACCTTCTTAGGAACATGCCCGTCTAATCTGCAGCCAGCCAGTCAGGGATGGTGACACACAGCCCAAAATGGCACAGAGAATTTCCTGTCTGTTTTTTCAGATTAAACAGATGTAGGTTTTGATTTTTCCTCCAAATATAGTTTTGACTTCATCCCTCAAATTTTGATTTGTGCTTCATTTTCCTCATTTCAAAATTCTTATTGAAGCAGTTTTTAAAAAAAAAATATTAAAAATTTACAGTTGGATGGATGTTTATGTCTTGACATGTGAAGTTGTTGGTTTCTGTGCCTGTCAGCTATAGTTCACACACTTAGCGGTATTGTGATTTTATTAGTCAGGCTTTCATTTTACAGAAATCTTAGATCTCCCGTACACCATTCTCAAGAGACTTGTTCCGAACCTGGGATTTATCTCTTCCCTTAGACTCTGTCCCTAAGTGTGTGATTGTGAGTATGTGGAAGGGATGTGTATTGGATCCTTCTCCTCAGACTTAGTGTTTCCATTTCTACCTTCCAAGTGCTCTAGACTACTGCAACACTGCTTTTATAATTTCTCTTACAGTTTTTCAAAATAAAAACACACACCTTGGACTCCCAAAGTGCTGGGATTACAGGAGTGAGCCACTGTGCCTCATCTAGAGTTAGTATTTCTATCCCTACCTTCCAAATGCTCTAGAATACCATCACGTCGCTTTTAGTTTCTGGTTAATTCTTTTCTCTTGTTCTGAGATGGAGTCTCACTCTGTCACCCAGGCTGAAGGGCAGGGTGTTGAGTTCAGCTCACTGAAAACACTGCCTCCGGGATTCAAGTGATTCTTCTTCCTCTGCCTCCAGAGTAGCTAGGATTATAGGACTGCACCACCACACCTGGCTAACATTTTAATTAATTAATTATTATTATTATTATTATTATTATTATTATTTGAGACAGAGTCTAACTCTTTTGTCCAGACTGGAGTGCAGTGGTGGGATCTCGGCTCACTGCAACCTCTGCCTTTTGGAGTCAAATGATTTTTAATTTTTTTATATTTAGTAGAGACAGAGTTCATTACGTAAGCCAGGCTGTTCTCGAACTCCTAACCTCAAGTGATCTGCCTGTTTTGGCCTCCCACAGTGCTGGGATTACAGACATGAGCCACAGCACCCGGTCAGTTTCTGGTTGAAATTTTTCAAAATAAAAAATAATGGCATTGACTTTAGGGAGTCCCTTTAGTGTTCCCCCAGCATGTTCATGGTGAAAACTGAGAATGGAGGCTGTCTGGGGCCACAGGACACTCTCATTCTCATTGCTTTAGGGCGGTAAGTGACAAGAAAATTTTCCTCAAAGAGGTAGAGCTTGGCTTTCAGGATCCTCAGTGACACTTTCCAGTGGTACTGGGATTCAGTGGAGCCATGGATGAAAATTAATGGGCCAGTGGTCTCTTTGACCCCTCCCTCCTTGGTGTTTGGAAGACATTCTTCCTGGTACCAGCAGAAGCAGAAATATAGATTTGTGGCCACCAAGTGCAGAGTGGAATTGGGGTAAAGTGGTAATTTTTCTACCTCTACCAGAGCAATGCTACTGGCCTTAGGAGAAGATGAGGTGATTGTGTTTGGCCTGAAAGTGATGCCTTTTCTCTGGATTTGTCTTCTAGAGTTTTTCCTTACAGATTCATCAGGATGAGCATCCAGGCCCCACCCAGACTCCTGGAGCTGGCGGGGCAGAGTCTGCTGAGAGACAAGCCCTTGGCCATCTCTGCCCTGGAGGAGCTGCCCAGGGAGCTCTACCTCCCACTCTTCCTGGAGGCCTTCAGCAGGAGACACTTCCAGACTCTGACAGTGATGGTGCAGGCCTGGCCCTTCACCCGCCTCCCTCTGGGATCGCTGATGAAGACGCTTCATCTGGAGACCTTAAAAGCATTGCTGGAAGGGCTTCACATGCTGCTTACACAGAAGGATCGCCCCAGGTGAGGTGACCCAGGAAGGCTGGTAGATGGGGCTCAGGTGTCCAGGGAAAGAACAGCAGGGTCAGGCAAAGAAGTATCCCAAGGATGGCCCAGTGTCTTCTGGTGGTGCTGGTGACGAAGCTCAGGCATGCCTTGGCCATTGCCCAGATCCTCAGGGAAAGAACTGCCCACAATATAGGGTCCACTGTGGGAACAGAAACTTGCCTATTCCCAGTGGAAGGTAAATGGAATAGAAGTGGGGACCAGTCAGAATTGAAAGAGAAAAGGGACCAAGAAAACTCAGAGAGAACAGGGAGCAGCGAGGACAGGAGCAGCTGATTTATTGGATGAGAATGAAAGCAAAGGTCAGGGATTTGTCCTTCAAAGTTCTGAGCCTCTGCCTTACTTTACCCACAGGAGGTGGAAACTTCAAGTGCTGGATTTGCGGGATGTTGATGAGAATTTCTGGGCCATATGGTCTGAATCCAGGGCCCTGTCCTCCTCCCCAGAGGCCATGAGTAAGAGGCAGACAGCAGAGGACTGTCCAAGGATGGGAGAGCACCAGCCCTTGAAGGTGTTCATAGACATCTGCCTCAAGGAAATACCCCAGGATGAATGCCTGAGATACCTCTTCCGGTGGGTTTACCAAAGGAGAGGTTTAGTACACCTGTGCTGTAGTAAGTTGGTGAATTATCTAACGTCGATTGAATATCTCAGAAGATCATTGAAAATAATCCACCTGAATAGTATTCAGGAGCTGGAAATTTGCTATGTGTCCTGGCCACATCTGATAAGAAAGCTTCATTGTTACCTGAAGGAGATGAAGAATCTTCGCAAACTCATTTTTCTCCAGGTGCCATCCTTACACGTCAATTACCGCGAGGAATGCTCAGTCGCCAAAATCAGCTCTATGTTCCTCAGGCTGAAACACCTCCAGCTGCTTAAAATGAATATGGTCACCTTCCACAGAGGGCACCTGGGACAGCTGATCAGGTGAGAAAGGATCGTGCCCTTTCTCTGCAGACCACAGCGCAGCCTTTTTTTTTGTTACAGTAAACACTAGAAGACGTGTACTGTGTGCCAGCCAGTGGCGACGGCACAGTGCAGGGGACACCAGAATGTCAACACATTGTCCCGTTCAGTGCTCCATGTCCTGGAGTGGCTATCACAGGATCACTTCAATAAAGGCAGAGGGGTCACCTAGGGTAGAGGCTAGAGAGGGACATCATGTACAAGGTACTTAGTGGGCGTTTTGTCTCTACTGCATGTGCACGTGTGAATTTCTTGTTACAAAGTGTGTTTCAAGTTGATATGATGTAAAAGAGGTAACAAAGGAGGGTATGAAAGGAGGGACAGTGCATCAAACTTGTGCATTTCACAGTAGAAGCTCTGTCCTCACCAGCTTAGTGATCATGAATGATCCTGTCTCTGATTCCCTGTCTGTAGAAGGTTGTTTTGAACTCCAGGAAAGTCAATTGACATGGGACATGCATGCTTCTGGGATGGAGGGTGAAGGAGTAGGAGTGAGAGTGGTAAAAAGTGACAGTTGGTTTGCAGATGCAGGCAGGCCAGGGAGCCCCTGCCGGCAGGTAGCCCCAGCTAATGTCCCTAGACCTTGCTGAGTTGAGTTCTTTGTGCACATCTCCCACCGGGTACCTGTGGCCCAGAGATGAGGTTTTCTGCTAAAAGATGAAGATAAAAGGCTTTAGAGATTTTGTGGCCTTGACCCAATCACACAAGAAATGGTGAAAGGGCTGAGGCTAAAATGGGACAGCCCCTGAATGATCAGGGTCCTCAACATGCAGCAACTTGCATGAGGACCATCATCAGATGGTGGGAACAAACTTGTGTTTGGTTGAAGCAGGTATTTTCCTTGAGTTCATTCCCCACTACCTTCATCTAACTGGTACCATTGCCCAGAACTAACTTCTTGATCTCCACAGGTGCCTCTAGAACCCCTTGGAGAACTTGGAATTAACTTGCGGCTACCTATTGGAAGAGGACTTGAAGTGTCTCTACCAGTACCCAAGCCTCGCTTACCCAAAGCATCTGAATCTCAGCTACATGCTGCAGTTCTGTATCAGTCTTGAACCCCTCGGAGCTCTGCTGGAGAAAGTTTCTGCCAACACGAGGGTCTCGAGAGAGGCAGCAATTACTCTTAAGACCCTCATCTTGGAGGGCTGTCAGATCCACTACTCCCAACTCAGTGCCATCCTGCCTGGCCTGAGCCGCTGCTCCCAGCTCACCACCTTCTACTTTGGCAGAAATTGCATGTCTATGGAAGCCCTGAAGGACCTGCTGTGCCACACCAGTGGGCTGAGCAAGTTAAGCCTGGAGATGTATCCTGCCCCCGAGGAGAGTTTGAATTCCTTGGTTCATGTCGATTGGGAGATCTTCACCCCACTTCGGGCTTAGTTGATGTGTACACTAAGGGAAGTCAGGCAGCCCAAGAGGATCTTCATTGGCCCCGCCCCCTGCCCGTCCTGTGGCTCATCACCGTCTGAGGAACTGGAGCTCCATCTTTGCTGCTAGGGAAGGCGTGCCTAGCGGGGTAGAGAAATCCAATGTTCTCTTCTAGGCCCTTGGACACTAAAATCTAGTATGTAGGTGCAAGTTATTTTCCTCTTTTCTTATTTCCTTTTTTAATAATTCCAATATTTTTATTACAAAAAAATTGAGAAAGTGTTTCACTATGTTGCCCCAGCAGGTCTCAAACTGCTGGTCGCATGGGATTCTCCTGCCTCGGCCTTCTAAAGTGCTGGGATTACAGGCATGAGCGACTGTGCCCAGGCCACATGTGCAACTTAAAGGAAGCACAGAGCTCTGTTTCAGACAGGTGCTCAGTGCGAGGGAAAAAATCCTAAGAGCAGGGGGCAAGACTTGAGGAAAATATTGAGGTGGAGTCAATGAGAGCTACAGAGTCAGAAAGAGAAACTAAAATTCTTCAGTGATGAGAATGTTATCCCTGCAAGGATGATTACCAAGAAATATCAGAAATAGAGAACCTCAGTGAAAACTTTCTGGTGTCCTCTGTAATTGATTTACTTGTTTTAGGGATTTATACATCAGAAATCTCTAGTTATTGAGTTACTGATGGAAAAATAACGAGGCACTAGTTTGTCTGTGATTGAGGTTCAGCTGCGGAACATCATAGCAGCCAAATAAAATTAGACCATTTTGAGTAATTCCCACCCATTCTTGTTCTTTTATTTCATTATTTATTTTTTTATTTTTGGAGACAAAAATATTGCTTTGTCATTCAGGCTGGAGTGTAGTGGTGCAATCTGGGATCACTGGAATCCTTTCCTGTGGGGCTCAAGTGATTCTCGTGCCTCAACCACTCAAGTAGCTGGGAGTACAGGCACGTGCCACCAAGCCTGCTAATTTTTGTATTTTTCGTAGAGACAGGGTTTTACCCTGTTCACCAGGCTGGTCTTGAGTTCCTGGCTTTGAGTGATCCGCCAACCTTGGCCTCCCAAAGTGCTGGGATTACAGGTGTGCGAATGGTCTGCACCCATCCTTTACTTCTCTTTAGTCATCTGTTTTTTCATACTTTTTCGACTGTGGGGAGCAGCTCGGTCGGGCACAAAGGCACAGGCAGAAAGGGGCCATGAGGAGAAGATGGGCTTGGGGTGGTGCCGTGCTTGCACATGAAGTGTGGTTGTCAGGTTCCAAAGGCAGAGCTGGGGCCATGCTCCAGGGCCCCGAGTTGGGAAGCAGAAATGGCACCAAGTTCAATGACCTGGCCAGCTATGCATCAACTGTGTGCCCACCCTGCTAATAGTATCAAGTTCCTAGGTCTAAAAAGGAGTTCTGTGTGAATCTTCCTGAGGCTGCATTTCCAAGATCTGCCCCCAAGAGGGGTGAACACAGAGCCTGATGCTTCCGATTGCTGGGCCTGTGGACCACGATCCACTCCTAAAGGCACCACCTCTTGGCTGGGTTGTCAGCCAGGCCTGTGCCCCATGTCCCTGAGGCAGCCAACTGTGCCACCCATACCCTCTCACGGCTAAACGGGACTTGCCCCTAGGTCCGCAGTCTCCACCACAGCCTCGACCTCACTCCCCACTTTGTGCTGTTAGCCTGCAAACTCCTGGATCAGAGCGCAGTTGGGGCTCATTAAACCGGACCCAGGAGCTTCAGATTTGTTTCTGTGGGGTTGACCAGAGCTGCTGTGAACCTGCATCTCACCTGTCACCTCTGCACGGAAACAGAGAGAGGGCAAAGCTGAGGCTGTGCACACTTTGGAGCTGATGGGATCCTGGGACAAGAGGGAGTCCTGGTCCTCCCAAGTTGGCAGGGCAGTAGCTCCAAAGGCACAACTGAAGCTGCCCAGGTTGCAGTTACCAAACAAGGTCCCCTAGTGCTCTCGAGGGCCCAGGAGGTCCCCCCTTCCCCATTCTATTGCTCAATAAAGGTCCTCTTTATCTTGCTCACTCTCCACTTGTCTGCATATTTCATTCTTCCTGGTTGCAGGACAAGACCCGCCTAATGGTGGGGCTAAAAGCAGTAACACAAACAAAGCTGAAACACGCCCCTTGCTCACCAAGTTGTAGGTGAAGAGAAAAAGAGAAGAGCTACTACTCTTTTCAGGAGCCCAGACGTGGGAGCTTCCTGAGCCAGGGCTGTGATTCCCTTTTTGTGGTTCTGCAGTTCCCAGCACTTCCAAGAAGGCCCATAATGGCAGTTAATGCTAGAAAGGGGAGGTAGAGGAACCTGTGGAAGGAAAAAAAAAAATGGTGGGGCTGAGATGGAGGGCCTGGGTCCACCCACAGACGAAAGTCCCTTCCTAGCAGACCCTGCACTGGGCCCCGGGGATCCTGGCGTCCCTGGTTCACACCCACGCTGCATATCGCACCTATGGGGGGCACCCCAAAGCTTCTAGCAAGCCCAGAAAGGAAGACAAGACTTGAAAGGGGAGGTAGAGGCACCTGTGGAGGAAAAAAATGGGCACCGTAGAGGAGGGGTGCTTGGGTCCCCCCACAGAAGAATGTGCCTTCCCAGCAGCCCCTACGGAGTCCCCGGGATTTCTGGCATCCCTGGATCACACCCACGTTGCCTGTCATGGTGGTGGGGGCACCCGGAAGGGGCAAGAAAGCCCAGAAGGGAAGATAAGGTTTGAAAGGGGAGGTAGAGGCACCTGTGGAAGGAAAAAAATGGCGCAGTCGAGAAGGGGGGCCTGGGTCAACCCACGGATGAAAGTGCCCTCCCAGCAGACCCTGCACAGGGCCCGGGGGATCCTGGCATCCCTGGTTCACACCCACAGTGCGTGTTGCACCTGCGGGAGGCACCCCAAAGCATCAAGAAGGCCCAGAATGGAAGAGAAGGCTTGAAGCTTAAAGTAGAAGCACCTGTGGAAGGAATAAAAAACGGCACGGCAGAGGAGGTGGGCATGGGTCCCCCCATGGATGAAAGTGACTTCCCAGCAGCTCCTGAGCTTGGTCCTGGGGATACTGGTGTCCCTGGTTCGCCCCAACGATGCCTGTCCCTCCCACTGGGGGGAAACCCAAAGCAGCAACAGGCACTAGTGGAAGGTAAAAAATACGTGCGGCAGAGGAGGGGGGCCTGTGTCCCCACATGGACTAAAGTGCCTTCCCAGCAGCACTTGCACAGGGCTCCGGGGTTAGTTCCATCCCTGATTCACACCCAAGGTGCATGTCACACCCATGGGGGGCACCCCAAAGTGGTAAGAAGTCCCAGGATGGAAGATAAGGCTAGAAAGGGGAGGTAGAGACACCTGTGGAAGAAAAAAAATGGCGAGGCAGAGAAGGGGTGCCTGGGTCCCCCCACAGATGAAAGTGCCCTCCCAGCAGACCCTGCACAGGGCCCTGGTGATCCTGGCGTCCCTGGTGCTCACCCACGGTGCATGTCACACTCGCGGTTTTACCCCAATGGGGCAAGAAGGCCCAGAAAGGATGATAAGGCTTGAAAGGGGAGGTAGAGGCACCTGTGGAAGGAAAAAAAAAAGGGAACAGCGGAGGTTCAGGCCGGGGTACCTCCTTGGACAAAAGTGCCTTCCCAGCAGCCCCTGGGTGGGGCCCCGTGGATCCTGACATCCCTGGTTCGCCCCCTTGGTAAGTGTCAATGACCTCATGGTATGTGTATATATATATATATACATGTGTGTGGTGTGAGCACCTAGAAAGTGACAACTCTCCAGGACAGAGCTGGCCTCACAGATTAACATGGTTTTTCACTTGGCAGGGAAAAGTAAAACGCCTCGTGTCCCTGGCTGGGCAACCCCCTCAGGAGTGCAGCAAGGAGACATGGGATCTGTGGACAGGAGGCTACTGGGCGAAACCTCTCATTGAGGATTATGTTAAAATTTGCACTTGAGACGCTGAGTGCCCTATGTCCTTCCCACTCACCAAAGAACCCCAGCTGAGCCAGCCCTGACTCCCAGACACAAGAGCCCAGGGAGAAGCTGGGAGAGAGGGAGACCCGCTGTGACCTCAGGGCATGGAAGGAGCCCTGACCTTTTTCTCCATGATGCCTTCCCCACTCCCAAGTGCCTCTGGCCTGAAGCTTCCAGGGACCCCTGCATTCCATCCATGCCCTCCTCTGCTCCCTCCAACCCAGCCTTTTCTAAAGCCCCATGCATTTGTCTCCATGAGAGTGCCCCAGTCTCAGGCGCTCACAGTGCCTCAGAAGCTCGGGGTCCCTGTGCCTGCCTGGAGGCAGTCTCACTCTATGTGGCCCCATGTGTGTTCTTGGATTTCTTTCTACACAAGGTCACCTGTAGGTGTACAGTAGACACATCACCTGTAGAAGAGCCAATGGGGATGGGTGAGGACCAGGAACCCTCTCAGGCACACACATGGAAAGAGAGAGAAGTGTTCCTGGAAGCACAGGCCTGGGGGTGGGTGCTAGCCCCCTGTGTCTCCTCTAATCAAAGAGGTCAGCGACTTTGGCCACAGAATACACACCCACTTCCCATGGGTTCACATCCAAAGAACAAACTCCTTCAGACTCCCTGGTCCATGCACTCGAGATCCCCAGGGTGTCTTGAGTTTTTATCCCAGAAGGAGAGAGAAACAAGCTTTCATCAGCTAAACAAGACCACTACTAATACTAATGTAGGTATTGACACTAATACTAGTACTACTACTAATACAAGTGCTAACACTACCAAAAGTACTGTACTAATATGAATATCAACAGGGATTTTTTTTTCTAGCTGCTCAAGGAAATGTGTGGAGTCATCCCCTATTTTCTTTTTATTGGAGCCACTGTGTCAGTGGCGACAGTGGTTAGGAGCCTCCTTTGGGTAAAAACGAGGTAACTTCAGCCCCTGCTTGCTCCACTGTCTGCCTCTCCAGGGCCTCTGTGTCCTGCTGCAGAGTCTAGCCTGTTCTTCACAGGCACACATTCCTTATGGCACAGAGACACACCAATAAAAAAAGTCCTGAGAGAAAGGAAGGAATGGCACCTGCAAGAGACCTCACACTGATGGACCTCAGAGATATTCGTGGTCTGAGGAACACAGAGGAGAATGTGTGGGGAGCAGATCCCCACTGAGAAAGAAGCAGGACAGCTGGGCGCAGTGGCTCACACCTGTAATCCCAGGACTTTGGGAGGCTGAGGCATGTGGATCATGAGGTTAGGAATTTGAGACCAGCCTGGCCAATATGGTGAAACCTCATCTCTAGTAAAAATAGAAAAATTAGCTGGGTGTGGTGTTGTGCCTGTAGTCCCAGCTACTTGGGAGGCTGAGGCAGGAGAATTGCTTGAACTGAGGAAGCAGAGGTTTCAGTGAACAATAGGAAAACAGTATTACAAGGAAAACTACTAGTCCTAAGATTTCTAACTATGTTTATTTGCTTGATGAGTCCTCAAGCTTCGGCCGTGCGTAGACTAGTCAGCTTCCAGTGTGTGACTAGAGCAGGGCTTGTTGTCTCCTCAACCTTCAGCTGTACGTAGACTGGTCAGCTTCTGGAGTGACCAGAGCAGGGCAGTCATCTTTAGCATCAGCTTGGTCTCATCTCAGGATCAGCTGTGTCTCATCTCAGGATCAGGTGGGTGATCTGGGTCCTGCTGGCTGGTCCACTTGTCCTGAGCTTCGGTTTCAGCCAGCTGTGGTGGATCCAAGGCACAACACCTGCAACTTTAACAGCAGAGGGAGTACACAAGATTACAGTATAGGGCTGGGTGTGTTGGCTCATGCCTGTAATCCCAGCACTTTCAGAGCCCGAGGCGGGTGGATCACGAGGTTGGGAGATGGAGAGCATCCTGGCTAACACGGTGAAACCTCATCTCTATTAAAAAAAAAAATACAAAAATTACCCACGCATGGTGGCGGGCACCTGTAGTCCCAGCTACCTGGGAGGCTGAGGCAAGAGAATGGTGCGACCCCCAGGAGGCAGAGCTTGCAGTGAGCTGAGATCATACCACTGCACTCCAGCCTGGGGGACAGAGCAAGACTCTGCATCAACAAAAAAAAAAAAAAAAAAAAAAAAAAAGGTTACAGTATAGGGCCCATCCCATATGGGTCCTAGAGAATTTAATTCAACTTTTTAACTCAGAGTCACTAGGTTTAAAGGGGTGTGTCTGGTCTGTCAGGCTTACAGGCATTCTTTCCTGTACCCACCCATGGACACTTTGCAAGTCTGTCCCTAATGCCTGCATTTGCTTTCTTAAGGTTAATTCTCTTAGTTCAAGGAGATAACCTTTAATTTGACTTATGATTGGGGGAGGCTGACTGAACAAAATCTCATAGGGCAAATACCCAGTTTGTTTGGTGAGGGTGCACCTGACTCAGAGGAGGACCATAGGCAAGACCTGATCCCATCTCAGATAGGTTTCCTGGAAATATTTCTTCAGAAGCTCCTTGAGTGTCTGGTTCATGCATTCCACTTTTTCTGAACTTTGCGGCTGATAGGCTGTGTGTAACTTCCATTTTATTTTTAACAGTCTTGTTAAATCTTGCACTATTTCAGCTACAAATGCCGTGCAATTAACGGACCCTAAAGTTAGAGGCAGTCCAAGCCTGGGGATGATGTCTCTTAGCAGTACTTTAGTCACTTCTCATGCTTTTTCTGTTCTGGTGGGGAAAGCTTCAACCCATCCTGAAAAGGTGTAAATAAGCACCAGCATATACTGATAGCCTCCGGCATGGGGTAGTTTGGTAAAGTCTACAAGAAAGTTTTCACAAGGCATGGTTCCTACTTCCTGAATTCTTGGGGGTTGAGTGGGCCCCTGTCACGGGTTGTTCTGAGCACAGGTTAAACATTGTTTACAAACAGCTCAAATGATGGCCACGGCACATAGAAACAGCATTTCAGTAATGTTTCCAGTGCCATTTTTTCCCATATGAGTTCCTAGATAAATTTGCTTCAGAAACGTAGGAGCTAACATTTCTGGAATGGCTAATGTCCCATTGAAGAATTTCCACCACCCTCCTTTAATATATTTTCCAGCTTCTTGAGCAAACCAGGCTCTTTCATTTGGAGTAGAACTTGGATCTTCTTGGAGAGGAGCTTCTGGGAGGAGAAGCATAGCTAAGGCTTCCTCTTTAAAATGTGATGCAATCATTGCTCCCCTCTTTGCCTCTCTGTCTGCCTTTCTGTTTCTTTTGGTTTTTGGTGTCCCTGACTTTTGGTGCCATCTGCAGTGCATTAAAGCTACTTTTCCTGGAGGCCATACAGCCTCTAAGAGCTGTAGAATCTCTTCTTTGTACTTGATTTCTTTGCCTCCAGCTGTTAAAAGCCCTTTCTCTTTGTCTATAACTTCATGTACATGCAATGTAGTAAAAGCATACTTAGAATCAGTGTAAATATTGACCTTCTTCTCTTTTGCTAGAAACAGTGCTCTTGTCAGGGCTATTAATTCTGCCTTTTGAGCTCATGTTCCAGTAGGCAGAGGCAGAGCATCTACTACTAAGTCCAATGTTATTACTGCATACCTGGCATCTTGAACCCCTTCTAGCACAAAACTACTTCCATCTGTGAAGTATTCAAAAGCCGGGTCTCTGAGGTCTGTCTGCAAGATCTTTCCGACTGGAGAACACCTCATCTACTGTTGCAACACAGTCATGGAGGGGAGCCCCCGGTTAGACTGGGAGCAGAGGAGCCAGGTTTAAGGTGTTCACTGTTTCTAAAATAATGTAAGGGTTCTCACAAGGAAGACCTGAGTCATTTTTGGGTTTGATAACCAAAGATGCCCTCTTTGGTCCATCAAAGTTATAACTGAGTGTGGCACCCGCACAGTTAGCTGCTGTCCCAGAGTTAATTTGCTAGCTTCTTGTGTTAACAAGATGGTGGCAGCTAATGCCTTAAGGCAAGGAGACCATCCTAGCACCACAGAGTCCAGTTGTTTGTATAAATACGCCACTGGGCAATGCCATGATGCTATAATTTGAGTCAGAACCCCTATAACCATTCCTTTTCATTCATGAATACATAGAAAGAGAGGCTTAATTATATCTGGTAGTCCTAAGGTTGGGCCTGACCTAAAGCTTCCTTGAGCTGTTTGAATGCTATTTCCTGATTAGTTTCCCAAAGGAGGGGCTCTTTTTCTCCGATTTTGTGGCTTCATATAATGTCTTAGCCATCACTGAAAAATTTGGAATCCAGATGTGGCAGAATCCTGCTGCCCCTAAAGGAAGGGGGCCAGCCCCTCCACACCTGTGGGTATACCTCATCAAGTGGGGTGAGAGACTGAGAAAAGAAATAAGACACAGAGACAAAGTGTAGAGAGAGAACAGCGGGCTTCTAGCCAGCAGAGAGTTGCCTGTGTTACTCTCCGACACTCCTCAGTGTTAAACAGTGGGAGAAAAAACTGCCTGCAGTCTGGCCAGGTTGGATTGTGTGTCAGAAAGATGGATTGCATCAGATCTATAAGAGCTTGGGGCTTTGCCATATAGGAGGGAGTATGGTGTTTCCAGTTCAAGAGATCAATGGTTGAAAAGGGATGATAGATGAAAGTCCATTCCCCCCACCTGACTTGGCCTTGGTCATCATAATAAATGGGTCCTCCCATCTCCCTGAGATGCATTTGCATAACTCAAGCATGGCTAGATCTGAGATGGCCGGCTTAACCATCTTGACTTCCTTCCCTGGCCTCTCAAGCCTCTGATCCTTCCTTTGGGGTGAGACTTTGGGTGTGCTAGCTCCTGAATCTGGTTCCTGGGGGACTGTTGGCCTCGGTAAAGAAGGCTAGGCTGGGACATATGGAGTAGGAATCTCTATTCCCTCTGGTGGATCCTGCAAAACTGGCTTTTTTGCTCCCTCTGGGACTTTGCCTTTAACTCTGTGTCTGCCGGTGAAGCTGTTCTTACTTTCATTTTTGGCACGGCTCTGGCCACAAGTGTTTTGCACTAACTGGCTAAACAGAGCTGGACCATGCTGGTCTTGTCTGTGCTATATTTAACCATAAGTCAATATAAGGAAATTGATCTGGGTGCCCAGGCTGTCCTCCAACCCCTGTCACCACCTTAAATACACGGTCAATTATTTCCCTATCTATAGTTCCTTTGGTTGGCCATCCAACACCAAAAGAAGGCCATTTGAATTCACAGAGAGTTCTCAACCTCTAGGAGGTTAGCGTAACTCCATAATCTCCTGCAAAACCTTTATTAAAGTTCTCTAACATGCACCCAATGGAGTGTGTTTTGATGACTTTCCTCCTATTTCCTCGCTTTACGATGCAGCACACCCACTCTTCCTTTTGCCTCAGACCCACCAGATCATCTCCTATTATGGGAGTTTTCAGATGCCACTTGGCTTAAGAAAGGGTTTTATTCCCACCATAACTCTGAGATGTGGGGCAGCTCCTATTAGCTGTATGCGGTTCGCCACTAGTGCAGGTTGGCCCCACACTTGGCTTGGAGCACACAGACCATGCTAAGAGATCTGTGACTCCCCATGCCACTCCCACATTGGTTCCTCCCTGAACTGTATCTTTCACACACTTTCACACACCTCCCCACTCCCAGTTCGTGTGTTCCTAATTGGGGTTGTGAGCCACTCTCACCACCTCCAGTTTTCTTTTCCTAACCGACTTGGGGAGCCACTCTTGCATTGTGTGCCAGGTAGGGTGTGAGATTCATCTGAATTGGCGAGCCTCTGTCACCACCTCCAGCCTCTCTGGGTCAGATTACTAGTTACACCCTTGGAGGTGATCAGGCTCCCCTTCCGTCCTTATGGGACGGATCCTGTCTTTGGTCCCAAAACTTTACTGCAGTCCTGAAGAAATCACACTGCTCCTGGAATCATCCTGTAGCCCCTCAGGTTCTGTTGTGCTGCTGGGTGGGGGCACCAGGTCACAGGAGAGCCGATCTCCCCTCTGGGCTGAAGTTCTTCCAGCAGCGCCTGGGGTCACAGGTTTCTTTCCCTTGACCCTGGGCTCCAGCCCCACAAGAAAAGGAGAAAGTAAACCTGTCATCTCCACTCCTCCTGTCTGGCTCACCAAAAAGTTCTGAGAAACTGAGGACCAGAGAGACTGATATGGGAAAACAGGAGGATTTTTTTTTTTAAGGTACACACTGGCTCAGTGGATTCATATCCAAAAAGCTGAGCATTGAACAAAGACTGAGCAGGATTTTTATAAGCAGGCTTACAGAAGCAAAACAATGGCAGTTAATCATACAATGACAGGTAATGTAATCTATTACATAACTGTGGCCTTGCATAGCTGGTGGCCTTGTAGCTGCATCAAAAGAAAAAAGAAGAACTGGCTAAATACAGACATTTGCCATTTTTCTTTCTTTTTTTTAATCACCCTTGCTCTGGAGCAGTGGGTGTCTGGAGCCTATTCCTTTCTTTCAACTTCTCCAACAGCATTATCTTATAACTGTCCTTGAAATGAGCTTGCTAGGCAGAGGAAAACTTGTTTTTTGTTTGTTTGTTTGTTTGTTTTACCTTTGCCTGACACATTCTGGGCCTTGGCTTTTACTTCTCAGACTAGGTCACTATGACCTTCTTATAGCTTTGTCTGTAACTTTTCTTGGAGTAAATGAATGTAGTATTTATTGTTATTATTGTGTTTAAATTTCTGCCTCAAGACCAGACTACGTAGTAAAGCAAGACCCCATCACTATTAAAAAAATTAATAGAAAATAGCATATATGATGGGGCATGGTGGTTCATGCCTGTAATCCCAGCACTTTGGGAGGCCAAGGCAGGTGGATCATCTGAGGTTAGGAGTTCGTGACCAGTGAGGCCAATATGGTGAAACCCCAACCCTACTAAAAATACAAAAATTAGCTGGGTGTGTTGGCTCGCACCTGTAATCTCAGCTACGCAGGAGGCTGAGGCAGAAGAATCACTTGAATTTGGGAGGTGGAGGTTGCAGTGAGCTGAGATCATGCCATTGCACCCCAGCCTGAGTGACAGAGTGAGACTTCATTTCAAAATTAAAAAAAAAAAAGAAAAGAAAATAGCATATGGAATATCTCTGTGGTTTTCTTAAAAACAAAGCAAAATCTGTCATTTAAAATCACAATAACATTGCTGGGCACCATGGTTCACTTGAGTCCAGGAATTCTGAGACTAGCCCAGGAAATGTGGTAAAATCTTTTCTCTGCATGAAATACAAAATATTAGCCAGGTATGCTGCCACATGCTGGAAGTTCCAGCTACTCAGAAGGCTGAGAGGGGATGATTGCTTGAGCCTGGGAGGCAGAGGTTGCAGTAGGTCAAGATTGCAACACTGCACACCACCCTGGGTGACACCCAATCTAAAAAAAAAAAAAGTCTTTCAATCCTTTTGTCCAGATGCCCACAAAATACCTGCCATGTTTTATGTTGTCTTGGTTCCCTCCTAGGGTCCCATTAGAACACTTAGTCCCATCCAGCCCAGCCCTCACCTTACTTTGTAATGTAGGCCTGATTTCTTTCAGTGAAACCTTGACCTTAACCTTGAGAAAAATTACACCCTCAGTAGTTCCTGTCTTCCACCTGAATGGGCATATGATCTACCATGTTAGGTAGCATAAAACCCAGGTGCCCAGTGGATACACAGAGATTTTTATTGTGTTTTTTAGGGATGACATCCCTGTCTTCTTAAAGCTGCTTTAATGCTGAAATGTTTTGATACTTTTGATGTGGCCAAAGATTCTCCAATAAAGATATATATATATTCTAATGTCAGAAACAGATTAAATCCTTCCCTGTATCACTATGAAGGTCACATATTAGTCAAACTTTACCAGTGTTTGTGGAATAAGTGAATAAATGAGTTTTAGACCTTCATCCTGTTATTACTTCTTTCACTTTCATAAATGCCTATCTAATTTAATCACTTCATGAGAAGAAAATTGAAAACTCAATCAGGGTTAACTGGGTGGAAGTTCACGATCCAGTTGGATGTCGTTTTCGAATTGGAAGTTGGTAGTCAAGAAGGGGGTTGTAGTGAGAAAGGTCAATAAAAGCTCCTGAAGGTGCACAGAAGAGACCCAAAGCCCTGGCTCCTGGAGCTACTGCTTGATTCTCACAGAGGTCCCGGCACCCTGCAAAGTGAGTCCAGAACTGGCAAGTCACCACTTTTTAGGGACATGCCCATTTGATCTGATCTTCTGTATAGCAAGTCATACAAAAGTCTGGAAGACACTAGCACATACACTGTGAAGAGAAGTCTGGGATAAGGGGAAGATTATAGGAGATGTTTGCTCTGTGGTTTTGGAATGTTTTGCATTCAGAATACTGTCCAGAGAAGGGAAAAATGATGAAAAACAAATGAAGCTCGCCCTCATGTACCTCTATGTACCTCCTACCATGCTGGACTTTCTTGTTTTGTTTCATTTTGTTTTTCTTTCTTTCTTTCTCTCTCTCTCTCTCTCTCTCTTTCTTTCTTTCTTTTTCTTTTTTTGATACGGTATCTCACTCTGTTGCCTAGGCTGGGGTGCAATGGCATGATCTTCGATCACTGCAACCTCCACCTCCTGCGTTCAAGCAATTCTCCTCCCTCAGTCTCCCCAGTAGTGGGGACTACACCTATGCACCACCACGCCCAGTCAATTTTTGTATTTTTAATAGAGACAGGATTTCAATCATGTTGGCCATGCTTGTCTCAAACTTCCGACCTAAAGTGACCCACCCACTTCGGCCTCCCAGATGCTGGGATTACAGATGTGAGCCACTGCACCTGGCCAATTGCTGTACTTTCATGATACACATGGAGTATCCACAGTATCACAAGGGCTATTTTTTCCATAATCCAACTTATTTGTATTATTGGTAGTGAGCTACTGTTGACGTCCCCACGTTAGCAATTTAGTGGCTATACTGATGATAAGCATTTCCATGCATCATGTGGTCAACAGCATTTGCTACCAAGTGCCACGTTCCATGCTCAGCAGTGGGACCACAGGATGAGCGAGACAAAGTTCCTGACCTTTAGCAGCAATATCGAACAAGTGAGATTGTCAAGAAAGAAAAAATCCTTGTAAAACATACCATACCCCTACGATTCAGTCATCATGCTCCCAGGTATTTAACGAAGGGAGTAAACCCACACCTGGATGTTTATAGCAGCTTTATTCATAATCGCCAAAACTTGGAAGCAAGAAAGATGCCCTTCAGTGGGTGACTGGATAAAGAAACTGTGATCCATCTGGTCAGTGAACTATTACGAAGCCATAAAAAGACATGAAAGATTCCTAAATGCACGTTATTGTACAAGTGAAAGAAGGCAATGTGAAAAGACTCATCCTGTTAGACATTCCAGAAGAGCCTTCTGCCTTTTTCTATGGAGATGGTAGAAAACCCAGTGGTTGCAAGGGATTTGGAGTACAATGGGATGAATGGAAAGAGGACAGAGGACTTTTAAGGAAACAAAACTACTCTCCATGATGCTCTAATGGTGGATACATGTCATTATCCCTTTGTTAAAATCCATAGAATATACAAAACCAGCAATGATCCTTCATGTGAACTATGGACATTGGGTGATAATGATGTGTCCCTGTGGCTCATTGGTTGTGACGAATGCTCTGTGCTGGTGTGGGTGCTGATCCTGTGGGGGTGCTGTGTATTGAAGGGGGAAGAAGGTAGATGAGAACTCTGCAGTTTCTGCTTAGTTTTTCTGTGAATCTAAAACTGCTATAAAGAAAAAAATAGGCTGGGCGTGGTGGCTCACATCTATAGTCGTAGCATTTTGGGAAGCCGAGGCGGGTGGATCACCTGAGGTCAGGGGTTCGAGACCAGCCTGGCTAAAATGACAAAACCCTGTCTCTACTAAAAAATAATAATAATAATAATACAAAAATTAATCAGGTGTGGTGGTGCATGCCTGTAATCCCAGCTACTCTGGAGGCTGAGACAGGAGAATTGTTTGAACCCTGGAGGCAGAGGTTGCAGTGAGCTGAGATCGTACCACTGCACTCCAGCCTGGGTGAAAGAGTGAGACTCCATCTCCAAAATAAATAAATAAATAAACTCAAGGCTGGGTGCGGTGGCTCATACCTATAAGAGCTCACTCCCAGCAATTTAGGAGGCCGAGGCAGGTGGATCGCTTGAGCCCAGAATTTCAAGACCAGTCTGGGCAACGTGGTGAAGCCTGGTCTTCACTAAGAATACAAAAATAAGCCAGGCATGATGGTGCATGCCTGTTGTTCCAGCTACTAGGGGGACTGAGGCAGGGAGATCACCTGAGCCTAGGAGGTCAAGGCTGCAGTAAGCCGTGATCATGCCACTGCACTCCAATCTGGACGACAGAGTGAGACTTTGTCTCCAAATAAAATAAAATAAAATAAAATAAACTCAATATTTTTAAAAACTGTAATGTTTCCTTTCAAAGCTAAAATTGTATTATTCTAAATATATTTTAAAGAAGAAATGATTATTGTTCAGTGTCTTTAAAATTAGTTTTTAAAATCTCATTTGTTTTGACATTTCAAACCAAGTTAAGTATTCTTTTTCTCACCCTCCTTGAGACGGAGTCTTCCTCTTTCACCCAGGCTGGAGTGCAGTGGTGCATTCTCGGCTCACTGCAACCTTTGCCTCCCAGGTTCAAGCGATTCTCTTGCCTCAGCCTCCTGACTATCTGGGATTACAGGCGCCTGTCACCACGCCAGGCTAATTTTTTGTATTTTTCGTAGAGACGGGGTTTCATCATGTTGGCCAGGCTGGTCTGGAACTCCTGACCTCGTGATCTGCCCACCTCGGCCTCCCAAAGTGCCAGGAATACAGGCATGAACCACCACACCTGGCCATTAACCATTCTTAACATATCACGTTGCATTCTTTAAAAGTTCTAATCTTTCATGTACATAAATTACAACACAAATATTTGTACTCTAATAGTATTCACATTATAGTAAATTTTTTTTCATGCTCTGTCACCCAGGCTGGAGTGCAGTGGCGCGATCTTGTCTCATTGCAACCTTCGCCTCCCGGGTTCAAGTGATTGTCCTGCCCCAGCCTCCTGAATACCTGGGATTACAGGCGAATGCCACCACTCCCAGCAAATTTTGTGTATTTTTAGTAGAGACGGGGTTTCACCATGTTGGCAAGGCTGGTCTCAAAATCCCGAGGCTGCCTTGGCCTCCCAAAGTGCTGGGATTAGAAGTGTGAGACACCATGCCCGGCCATAATAATAAATTTTATTTTATCTTTTTTTTTTTGAGACGGACTTTTGCTACTGTTGCCCAGGCTGGAGTGCAATGGCTCAGTCTGAGCTCACCGCAACCTCCACCTCCCAGGTTCAAACGATTCTCCCGCCTCAGCCTATCGAGTAGCTGCAATTACAGACGTGCGCCACCACGCCTGGCTAATTTTTTGTATTTTAAGTAGAGAAGGGGTTTCTTCATGTTGCTCAGGCTGGTCTCAAACTCCCAACCTCAGGTGATCCACCTGCCTCAGCCTCCCAAAGTGCTGGAATTACAGGCGTGAGCCACTGCACCTGGCTCATAATAGTACATTTTTAAAAACACCATAAAATATAATCCTTGCAACACTCAATTATACCATCTGGTCGGATCTATCAGCAGATGGCACCCGAGACATACGGATTGGAAATTTTGATCTTATTATGAATGAATCCAGTCCAGAAATGCCCACCCTGCCCCCTGCTGGCTCCTGGGGCTCTGCTCTTTGGGGGAATCATGATGAAATTGTGGCAGAGAGTAGAAGTTGAGCCCCATTGCATGCCCTGAGTTCTTGTTGCCTCTCTATTATCAGGAAAAGGAGGTGAGATTGAAAGATGAAAAATGCTGGGACTTCTGCTGAGAAGAGAAAAAAGAACAAGATGTATTGATCTTACTGTATGCCAGACCCCATGCCAAGCCCTAAACATGAACCATCTCATTGGATCCTACCTAGGTCCCATAAGCTGTTGGACATCATCATCCTCATTTTACAGGAAGCTGAGGCTCTTGGCTAACATCCCTGACAGCAACACCAGCCCCTGAGTACTCAGCAGGATCCTTCACTTGGATGCCCGCTATGCAGGCTTCCTCAGCACAGGGAAGGTCACTCATCACCCACAGGCCCTTGATCGTTATCCACCCTTTGATGCTGTCAGATTCCAGAACACGCTGCACTAGTCTCTTCCTTCATAGGGAGAGAGGGAAAGTGTTATGAGAAAATCTCTCATCAATCTGACCTAGCTCCCCAAAAAGATGTAACTTTTAAAATGTCAGATGGAAATATTTAAAAAGTGTTACATGCCTGTATAGTTTTAGTATTTTACTTAAAGGGAATGTGGCTGTCTTTACTGGCTACAACCAGTTTAATTCAAGAAGGGCTGCTGGTCATCAGGGGAACAAGCAAGGTTTGGTGCTGCCCAGAGTCTCCAGCTAATACACAATATGGACATACCCTTCCAGGGCAGCGAGAAGAGAGTGGGTCCTTGTGCAGTGCAGCTGACATCCACCAACTAAGGCTTCTGGAAGCATGTGGAGACTCACAGGGAGTGGGCAGGGTCTCAGCATCTGGCTAGCGGTGAAAGACCCTGAGAAGAAGGTGCTTTCCGTGTGGATTGGCTCACTGTTCTTGCCCAGTAATGTTCCAGGCCTTTGGTGTCCACCTGGTGTGTATTAACCCACTGAACAGCCACAGAAACTAACAAGGATTTAACAGACATCTAAAGAAGTGAAGAACTGGAGGAGGCCAAGCCAAGCGTGGTGGTCCACGCCTATACTCCCTGCATTTTGGGAGGCCAAGGCAGGAGAATCACAAGCTCAGGAGTTCCAGATCAGCCTGGGGAAGACAGCGAGGCCTTGTTTCTACTAAAAAAAAGTATCCAGGTGTGGTGGCTCACACAGCTGTAGTCCTAGCTACTCAGGAGGCTGAGGTGGGAAGATCGCCTGAACCCAGGAAATTGAGGCTGCAGTGAGGTATGATTGTGCCACTGCACTGTAGCCTGAGTGACAGAAGACCTTTAAAAAACAAAAACAAAAGCAAAAGCCTGACACAGTGGCTCACACCTGTAATCCCAGCATTTTGGTAGGCCTACTTGCATGAATCACCCAAAGTCAGGAGTTTGAGACCAGCCTGACCAACATAGTGAGGAAACCCTGTCTCTACTAAACATACACAAATTAGCTGGGCACGGTGGTGCATGCCAGTAATCCCAGCTACTTGGGAGGCTGAGGCAGGAGAATCATTTAAACCCCAGGTGGAGGTTGCAGTCAGCTGAGATGGCACCATTGCACTCTAAACTCCAGCCTGGGCAACAAGAGTGAAACTCTGTCTCCAATAAAAGAATGGGAGGAAACTGATTACAATAACCAAATTTCATTTAAATGCCTTGATTTTCTTGGGCTGCATCTTATTGATTGGACAACTCAGTCAGTGCCTTTTGTTTTTTCCATCAATAACTGAAGATTCCTGAGGCTTAAACTGGAAAACAGGTTACTTAATAATAGAGGGCACCAGACAGATTCTGCTCAGTTTTCCTTTATTTCTGATTGTTTCTTTACAACCATCCATGCAAGAGTAACTCCCTCATGTATTCTCAAGCCTGAATTCCACTCTAGACATTCAGATTCCCATTTTCGACTCTACAGGATACACGTTCCCAAAGTCCCATCGAATCCATGGCAACATTTCCCCCAAGTCCTGCCCCTGCTTGATCAGCATTCCTTTCCCACTTTCAGAGCCCATGTGTGAAACGATGGGTTCTGTGCTCCCTTTAGGATGTACCTAAGACCTAGGTTTTAGTTTCCAAGTGTCCAGAAGAAAGCGTTTGACATACCCATCCAAATAGGCAGGCATTCAACAGCAGTATTGATCTGCCTCCAGGTCATAAAATGACCTGTTGCCACAGTCAGGGCAGTAGTCAGTACCGAACAAGATCCTCTTGGGGTGCCTTAAGTCCCTAACTCTCTTCATCAGCTCAGCCCTAATCTGAGTAAATCTGCTCCAGCAGAGAGTACCATCAGCACCATAACTCTCCCGTGGGGCAGGATACAGCTCCAGGCATAAGTTTTTGAGTATGATTGTGTGGCTCAGCAGGTTCTCCAGGGTGGCCATGGAGATGGGATTTCCACAGAAGCTGAAGGTGTTGAGCTCAAAGCAGCGGCTCAGGGCAGGCAGGATGGCGTTGACTTGGGAGTCTATGATGCCACAGTCATCTAAATCCAGGTACTCAAGGGTGGCTGCAACTTTTTCTAGGAGAATTTGGAGAGGCACAAGACTGTAATTGGTCAGTCTGATGCCACTCAGGTCCAGGGTCTTTAGTTGACTGATACTCGGGCACTGGGATAGATGCTTCAAGTCTGATTCCAAAAGCACACAGTTAGTTATTGTGAGGACCTTTAACGAGGTCTTCAGACAGCTGGGGAGAGAGAGCAAGAAGTTAATTCTGGGGAATCATAGGGGTGAGTGGAGGGTGGTGGGGAATGGCTTCAAGGTAATGGATGGAGACCATTTTGCCCAAGTCCAGGATCATTCTCATGGCCGGATGGTCAACACTTCGGATGATGTGTGATGAAGAGCTTTGCCACCGAGGTCAATTCCACTTTAGGCCCGGCCCAGTAACTCACACCTGTAATCCCAGAACTTTGGGAGGCTGAGACTGGTGGATTCCTTGAGATCAGGAGTTTGAGACCAGCCTGCTGAACATGGCAAAACCTCCTCTCTACTAAAAATCCAAAAATTAGCCAGCTGTGGTGGCGGGAGCCTGCAATTCCAGCTACTTGGGAAGCTGAGGCAGAAGAATCGCTTGAACCCAGGAGGTGTAGGTTGCAGTGAGCAGAGATCATGCCACTACACTCCAGCCTGGGTGACAGAGAGAGACTCCGCATTAAAAAAAAAAAAGGAGAAAAAATAATTCCATTTGAGGCTGAGTCATTTCACCATCATTTATAGGAATGGATCAAGTTCACAGAATCCCTAAAGCTCCCTTTCCTCATCTGTCAGGCAGAAAACCACATCCCTGGGCCACAGAAGCCCAGTGGAGATGCAGGCATAAAGGACAAACCCAGACAGGATCCTGCAACATCAGCTGGGGTGGGCGGGCTGCAGGCGTCCCTGACACGCCTGTATCATCAGCAAACCATCTATCACTTTCACCATTCTTTGTGCCTGCTCCCTGACCCTCTGTTTCAGAATCATACATTTCCTAGGTAATTAATTTACCTGGAGCTCAAAAGAAACTTTTACAACAGGGAATTAGAGATGGGATCATTCATGTTCACGGAACTGTGGGGCACAAAGCTGATTTTCTGACATGTGCAGATTTGCTGAGCATTCCCCTCTTCAGTGACCACTTCACTTCCCTACTTCCCATCATCTTCTTAAAAATTATCTTGTTGGCTGGGCGTGGTAGCTCTCGCCTATAATCCCAGCACTTTGGGAGTCCAAGGTGGGCGGATCACCTGAAGTCAGGAGTTGGAGAATATCCTGGCCAACATGGTGAAACCCTGTCTCTACTTAAAATATAAAAATTAGCCAGGTGTGGTGGCCCACGCCTGTAATCCCAGGCACTGAGGAGGCTGAGGCAGGAGAATCGCTTGAACCTGGGAGGCAGAAGTTGCTGCGAGCTGAGATGTCACAACTGCACTCTAGCCTGGACGATCATAGTGAAAATCCATCTCAGAAAAAAAAAAAGTTATCTTGTTTGTTTTTACTTTTATTTCTTCATTTCTGACAGGGGTCTTGGGATGTTACCCAGACTGGTCTTAAACTCCTAGGCTCAAGCTATCCTCTTGCCTCAGACTCCCAAAGTGATAGGATTACAGGCATGAGCCACCGTCCCTGGCCTATTTTTCATCATCTTAACTTAGACACACGTCCTCAGGAAGAATTCAGAAAGGCACCCTCACTAGATCTGAACCCCCCAGTAGCTAGCTTCCTAGTATGGCAACCTCTCTATAGCATCTCCCCTAGCTGATCCCTCTGCCTCTATTGGGATGGTTGCATGATACCCATTTCAGGACAGGGCCGCCAACAGGACAATGTATGGACATTCTAGTGTCCCCTTCACTGTTTCATCCTCATAGGCTGGCTCACAGTAGATGCCCACTAGCGTTTAGTGAAACAGGCTCTGCTGTGGTCTGCAGAGAAAGCTCACCACCCTCCCTCACCTGAGCAGCTGGTCCAGGTGGCCTTCGAGGAAAGAAACAGAGTTCATATAAAGCTTTTGGAGGCAGTGCAGCTTGAGGAACTGAGTGGTGAACTGGGTAACAATCTCCTTCTTCTGCTCTGGGGAAACGTAGCGAGAGACATCCATGTGGGAGAGAACGAGCTTCTGAAGATTCCTCATGTGGCCCAGGTATGGGGTAAACTGTGTCAGGATGGGCAGTACCCACTTGCAATTCACTTCCACCTCCTGGATACAGTCTAGGTTCACCATTTTCAGGATGCTTCTGATATTGCGGAAGGGCATTCCCAAAATTTTCAGCTTCTTACAGCACAGGTGTAGTAAATCTTTCCTCTGCTTGACCCATAGAAGGAGGCAGGTGAGGTGTTCATCCAGAGTCCTGTTCTTGAGCCAAAGTTCTACGAACACAGTCAAGGGCTGCCGTCCTCTCATCCTTGGACAGTCCTGCACTGGTTTTTTGTTCCTCTTGGCATTGAGGAAGCACCCACGGGCCATAGCTTCAGACCAAACCATCCAGAAGTTCTCACAGACATCCTGTAAATCCAGCACTTGAAGTTTCCACCTCCTGTGGGAAAATAGAGGTGAGACTGAGAATTTCAGAACTCATTTCTGAACTTAAACTCCACATCCTGGATAGCAGCTCCTCCCCTCCCTGCTTCTTGTCCCTGTCTCTGACATTTCTCCACCCTGTTTTCCCCTTGGATCCTGCCCACTTTCACATTTTTTTTTTTTTTTTTTTTTTTGAGACCAAGTCTCCTTCTGTCACCCAGGCTGGAGTGCAGTGGTGTGATGTCACCTCACTGCAACCTCTGCTTCCCCGGTTCAAAGGATTCTCCTGCCTCAACCTTGCAAGTAGCTGGGATTACAGGAGCCCAGCACCATGCCCAGCTAATTTTAGTATTTTTAGTAGAGTTGGGGTTTACCATGTTGGACAGGCTGGCCTCCAACTCTTGACCTCGGCCTCCCAATGTGCTGGGAATACATTGTGAGCCACCGTGCCCGGCCCAGTTCTCACTTTTCATGCTGGCTTTCAGTGCCATTAGGGGAGAGGTTCCTGTTACCTCCATGGACCTGGCATGGTCAGCAGTGCTTTCCCTGAGGAGCTGGTGAATGGCCAAGGCCTCTCAGCTTCCTCACCACCACCATCGCCCCTTGGGCCTCCTCACTTCTCATGACCCAGCTGTTCCTTCGGTTGGACACCTGGGCCCTCCCCACCAGCCCACCTGGCCCACCTCACCTGGGACGAACCCCGTGGGTAAGCAGTGCATCAAGCCCATTGAGCACAGCTTGGAAGGTCTCCAGACAAGGCATCTTTATCAGAGGCCTCAGAGGGAGGCGGCGGAAGGGCCAGGCCTGTACCATCAGCTTCAGGGCCTCACAGCGTCTCCTGCTGAAGGCCTCCATGAACAGTGGGGGGAAAAGTTCTGTGGGCAGCTCCTCCAGGGTGGACATGGCCAAGGCTTGGTCCCTCAGCACGCTCCGCCCCGCCAGCTCCAGGAGTCTGGGTGGAGTCCGGATGCTCATCTTCATGAATCTGCAGGGAAAACTTCCAGAGGACAAACCCAGAGAAAAGGCATCACTCTCAGGACAAGCCCATGCAATCTCATCTTCTCCCAGGGCCAAAGTCACTGCTTTGGCAATGGTGAAACAGCCCTCAGTTTACTCCAATTCTACTCAGTACTCAGTGGCCATTAAGCCAGCATTCTGCCTCTGCTGCATCAGCATGAGCGTCTCCGAAGCAGTGAGGAGGCAGGGCCACAACTAGCCCTTCCTTTCTATCCAGTGCTCCATCCAGTGACTAGTGAGTGTGGAGGAACCTGAAAGCAAACCCCTCCGACCATTGGGGGAAATTACTAATTACTCAAGGTTCTAAAACAATGGGAAAGGGAGTGTCACAAGCCTACATGCCCACAATTTCAGTTCCTACAAATAAGCTTGTTGGGAACATTCATGGGGCATCCCTAGAACAGGTTCTATTTGTTTTCTTTTCTTTATTTAAGGTTTCCTTCTCTTTCTCTCTCTTCTTTCCTTCTTTCCCTCTCTCCCTCCCTTCTTTCTTTCTTCCCCCCTCTCTCTCCCTTCTTTCTTTCTTGTCTTCTTTCCCTGCATCCCTTCTCTCATTCTCTCTCTCCCTCCCTCTCTCCCTCACTCTTTCTGACAGGGTCTTGCTCTGTTACCCAGCCTGGAGTGCAGTGGTGGGATCTTGGCTCACTGCAGCCTTGACTTCCCAGCCTCCCAAGCCTCCTCAGCCTCCCAAGTAGCTGGGACCACAGTTATGCATCACCACACCCAGCTCATCTTTTATGTTTTGACTTTTTGTAAAGACAGTGGATTTCACTATGTTGTCCAAGCTGGTCTTGAACTCCTAGTCTCAAGCAATCCACCCCCCTTGGCCTCCCAAAGTACCGGGATTATAGTTGTGAGCCTCCACTCCAGCCTTATTATCGAATATTTCAGTGAGAAGCTTTGAAAGCTATGTGACACTGTTATGCATCATTCGCAAGATAGATGATTCCAATACACACCTCTCGCACATATTCAAAATCAACCACTTTGGCTGGGTGCAGTGACTCACCCGTAATCTGAGCATTTTGTGAGGCCAAGGCAGGTGGATCATCTGAGATCAGGAGTTCAAGACGAGCCTGGCCAACATGGTAAAACCCTACCTCTACTAAGCCAGCAAAAATTAGCCAGGTGCAGTGGTCTGCGCCTGTAGTCCAAGCTACTAGGGAGGCTGAGGCAGGAGGATCACTTGAACCCAGGAGGCAGAAGTTGCGGTGAGCTGACATTATACCACTCCACTCCAGCCTGGGAAATAGGCTAGATTCAAAAGAGAGACAGAGAGAGCTACATTTGATTAGACTTCTTAATCTCTACCCAGTTAATCCTGATTGGATTTTTGGCTTTCTTCCAGATTAACTGATTGAATTAGATATTCATCCATCAAAATGAAAGATTTAGGGATAGGGTGAAAGTCCAAGACTCATTCACTGATTCACTCCACAAACGTGGAGTTTTACTAATATGTGTCCTTCACAGTCCTGAGTGTGAGACAGGGAAGGGTTGAATCTCTTCCTGATATTAGACAGAAAGAAAGAAAACTTGAAAGTATCTGTAGAGGGATCCTTGGCCACATCAAATTTCTCAAAATATTTCAGAGTTAAAACAGTTTTACAAAGACAGAGATGACAGTTCCTAAGAAAACACAATAGTAATCTTCATATATCCAGTGATTACCTGGGTGGCATAATTCTTCTTGGTGTTGAGGGAGCTGAGTCTCACTTCGTTGCCCAGGCTGGAGTGCAGTGGTGCCATCTCGGCTCACTGTTACCTCAGCCTCCAAGATTCAAGCAATTCTCATGCTTCAGTCTTCCACGTAGCTGGGATTACAGGCATGCACCCCCACACTCATGTCTCCATTTGGGTGGAAGAGGATGTGATTGCTTTAAAATTAAGGTCAAAGATCCTTTTTTGTTAAGATGTTGCTTTTGTTTTTTGGACAGGGTCTCTCTCTTTTGCCCAGGCTGGAGTACAGCAGTGGTGTGAGCATGGCTCACTGCATCCTCAATCTTCTGGGCTAAAGTGATTCTCCCACACCAGCCACCCAAATAGCTGGGGCTACAGATGCATGCCACCATGCCTAGCTAATTAAAAAAAAAAAAGTAGAGGCCGAGCACCAGTGGCTCATGGCTCTAATCCCAGCATTTTGGGAGGCCAAGGCAGGTGGATCACTTGAGGTCAGGCGTTTGAGACCAAACTGGCCAGCATGGTGAAACCCCCGCCCCTACTAAAAATACAAAAATTAGCCAGGCATGGTTTCAGATGACTGTTATACCAGCTTCTCTGTATGGAGACTGATGCATGAGAATTGCTTGAACCTGGGAGGTAAAGGTTACAGTGAGTTGAGATCGTGCCACTGCACTCCAGTCTGGGCAACACAGCGAGACTCCATCCCCATCCTCAAAAAAAAAAAAACGTTGTGTAGAGGAGGGTTTTTGTCATGTTGCCCAGGTTGGTATCAAACCCCTGGGCTGAAATGATCCTCCCACTTTGGCCTCCCAAAGTGTTGGGGTTAAAGGCATGAGTCACTGCTCCCTTCAAGAATTTTGAAATGACCTAAACCAAAGCACAATCAACTTTTTTGAAATAAAGACAGAACTGTATTTAGAGGAAAACATTCAAAGCTTCAAATTGTTCATATGAAAAAAAAAAAGGACAGGATATAGCTCTGTGCCATCGTAGGCTGCACTGTCACCATCCCAGACCAGCTGACTGTAGGTCAGATGGGAGTGTCCTTACAGAAATTAATGACTTACCAGATCTGGATGTAGTTTAGAAGGTGCTCAGACCTCAGGAAGAACCAGGCAGGAACTCCAGGCTTGAAGACTTTGGGTCTCTCCTGTGGGTCTTTAGAAGCTTTTATTGACGTTTCTAGTCACAACTCCCACCCACGCCCCTCCACGTATCCGCTGCTAGCTTCCAATCAAAAAGTGATATCTGATTGCATTTCTGAAGCTCCAGCCAGTTAATCCTGATTGGGTTTTTGGCTCTCCCCAGATTAATGGATTGAATCAGATGTCCATTCATATCACATATCTATATTCACTTCATGAAGCAAGAAATTGACAGTGTTAGGGATAGGGTAGAAGTCAAGAATACATTCATTCAAGGCCAGGTGAGGTGGCTCACTCCTGTAATCCCAGCACTTTGGGAGGCAGAGGCAGGTGGATTATCTGAGGTCAGGAGTTTGAGAAAAGCCTGGCCGACATGGTAAAACCCTACCTCTACCAAAATTACAAAAATTAGCCAGGTGCGGTGGTCTGTGCCTATAGTCCAAGCTACCAGGGAGGTTGAGGCAGGAGGATCGCTTGAACCCAGGAGGCAGAGGTTGCAGTGAATTGACAATACACCACTGCACTCCAGCCTGGGAAATAGGCAAGATTCAAAAAAAAAAAAAAAAAAAAAGAAAAAAGAGAGAGAGAGAACTACATTTGTACATTTGATTTGACTTCTTAAACTCTACCCAGTTAATCCTGATTGGATTTTTGGCTTTCTTCCAGATTTACTGATTGAGTTAGATATTCATCCATCGAAGTGAAAGAATTAGGGATAGGGTGAAAGTCCAGGACTCATTCAGTGATTCACTCCATAAACATGGAGTTTTACTAATATGTGTCCTTCAAAGTCCTGAGTGTGAGAGAGGGAAGGGTTGAATCTCTTCCTGACATTAGAGAAAAGAAAAAACTTGAAAGTACCTTTGTTGAGGGATCCTTGGCCACATCAAATTTATCGAAATATTTCAGAGTTAAAACGTTTTACAAAGACAGAGATGACAGTCCCCAAGAAAACACAATAGAAATCTTCATGTATCCAGTGATCACCTGGGTGGTATAATCTAATTTTTTTGGTGTGGGGGAAGCTGAGTCTAACTTTTTGCCCCATGCTGGAGTGCAGCGGCGCCATCTCAGCTCATTGTAACCTCCGCCTCTGAGATTCAAGCAATTCTCATGCTTCAGGCTTCCACGTAGCTGGGATTACAGGCATGCACCCCACACCCATGTCTCCATTCAGGTGGAAGAATTACCGAGAGGATGTGATTGGTTTAAAATTAAGGTCGAAGATCCTTTTTTGTTAAGATTTTGTTTTTGTTTTTTGGACAGGGTCTCTCTCTTTTGCCCAGGCTGGAGTACAGCAGTGGTGTGAGCATGGCTCACTGCAGCCTCAATCTTCTGGGCTAAAGTGATTCTCCCACACCAGTCACCCAAATAGCTGGGACTACAGATGCATGCCACCATGCCCGGCTAATTAAAAAAAAAAAAAAGTAGAGGCCGAGCACCAGTGGCTCACGGCTCTAATCCCAGCAGTTTGGGAGGCCAAGGCAGGTGGATCACTTGAGGTCAGGTGTTGGAGACCAACCTGGCCAGCATGGTGAAACACCCGCTCTACTAAAAATGCAAAAATTAGCCAGGCATGGTGGCAGATGGCTGACACCAGCTTCTGAGGATGGAGACTGAGGCATGAGAATTGCTTGAACCTGGAAGGTAAAGGTTGCAGTGAGTTGAGATCGTGCCACTGCACTCCAGTCTGGGCAACACAGTGAGACTCCATCCCCGTCCTCACAAAAAAAATAACGTTGTGTAGAGGAGGGTTTCTGTCATGTTGCCCAGGTTGGTCTCAAACCCCTGGGCTGAAATGATCCTCCCACTTTGGCCTCCCAAAGTGTTGGGGTTAAAGGCATGAGTCACTGCTCCCTTCAAGAATTTTGAAACGACATCAACCAAAGAACGATCAACTTTTTTGAAATAAAGACAGAGCTGTATTTAGAAGAAAACATTCAAGCTTTAAATTGTTCATATAAAAAAAAAAAGACAGGATACACTTCTGTGCCATCGTAGGCTGCAGTGTCAACATCCCAGACCAGCTGACTGTAGGTCAGATGGGAGTGTCCTTACAGAAATTAGTGACTTACCAGATCTGGATGTAGTCTAGAAGGTGCTCAGACCTCAGGAAGAACCAGGCAGGTACTCCAGGCTTGAAGACTTTGGGTCTCTCCTGTGGGTCTTTAGAAGCTTTTATTGACCTTTCTAATCACAACTCCCACCCACGCCCCTCCACGTATCCGCTGCTAGCTTCCAATCAAAAAGTGATATCTGATTGCATTTCTGAAGCTCCAGCCAGTTAATCCTGATTGGGTTTTTGGCTCTCCCCAGATTAATGGATTGAATCAGATGTCCATTCATATCACATATCTATATTCAGTTCATGAAGCAAGAAATTGTCAGTGTTAGGGATAGGGTAGAAGTCAAGAATACATTCATTCAAGGCCAGGTGAGGTGGCTCATACCTGTAATCCCAGCACTTTGGAAGGACAAGGTGAGTAGATCACCTGATGTCAGGGGTTCAAGACCAGCCAGGACAAAAAGGTGAAACCCTGTCTCTACAAAAATACAAAAATACAAAAATTAGCCCGGCATGATGGCAGGTGCCTGAAACACAGCGACTCAGGAGGCTGAGGCAGGAGAATTGCTTGAACCCAGGAGGCAATGGTTGCAGTGAGCCAAAATTGTGCCACTGCACTCCAGTCTGGGTGACAGAGGGAGATTCTGTCAAACAATAAAAAAATTAATTCATTCATGAACTCCACAAACACTGATGGAACTTTACTAATATGTGAACTTCATAGTCTTGAGTGTGAGGCAGGGAAGGATTTGATCTGTTCCCGACATTAGACAGAAAAATAAAATCTGAAAGCAGTGTTGTTAGGAGATCTTTGGCCACATCAAAATATGAAAATGCTTTATACTTTAAAAAGCTTTATAAAAACAGAGGAGTCATCCCTACAAAATCAGAATAAAAATCTCAATTTATCGAATGGTCTTGGGGATTTTATATAACCTAAGGTAGCAGATTATATGCTCGTTCTGGTGGAGGAGAGGTGCCACTGAGGGCGTGAGTGGTCTCAGGGCTTAGGTTAAGGCTTCTTTGGAAGAAATTGAAACCACAACTATAAACTTCATCAATTTAATCAGTGAAGAAGGGAGGGGGAGAAACAAAAATAAACCAAGCTTGCAACACATTCAGCATTCATCAGGAGGTCAGCTTGCTCTCTGACCTGGTTCCTTATGGTTGCTGGCAGCCTACTGTTCCAAAATCATATAGACCTTAGATTACAGTTCCCCTTAACTTCCCTGCAGACAACAATTTAAGCATTGTGAAACATTAACTTTTTTCATTTGACATATTCTTTCAGATTCTGCATGTCAGTGAAACTACTGATGCCAGCTCATCTAAATGGGCCCTGCAAGGCACTAACGCAAAGAATGCAGTTTCTAGATCCTGTTGACTTCTTCCCTCTTACCGCTACCCCAACTTTCCAGTCCCTTGCTATCCAGGATCCACTGAAAATGCTCAGTACTCCTTGGGGTGATGAATTTGAGGATCTCCTCCTAACTTCTCATTCAGCCACCCTGTGATCATTAAACTCTCTGCTGCAAACCCTGCTGTCTCACAATATTGCTAAGCTACTGTGCAGCAGGCATAGGAACCTGATGGTCCTGTAATAAAGTCATGTCAAAATTACAAATGGAAGTGAGGGTGGAGCTGGTCAGGGTTGAGCTGGGTTTTTAATGGGAACCTGGGAGTGAACCAAGACTTGCTGAACATGTTGGGGGTTATTGAGTGGGTGGAGGATGAATCTATCCAACATTGCATGGATGCCCCTTTGGTTTTGATCCTTATGACCAAGTATGAGTCTTTCAAAACAATTTATATAATCCTCCTTATATTTCCTTTCAAAACCTTCAACTTCCTTTATCTCCCCGAATAATCTCACATCTATTCCCATTTCTTTGCTTACTTCATAATACATTTTTTTTTTTTTTTTTACAGAGTCCTCTTCTCTGTTAAGTAGACCATATATTTTGTTGCCACACAAGATGAGTAACCTGGTTCTATGGACAGAAAGGGTCAAAAGGATCCCATTCCTCAACAGCTGGGGGTGATGTAAAGGCCATGGTTATTCCTTGTCATATCTGCACCTGCATATTGCCAGTGAAAACTTGCAGGGCACATTGGGCAGGCTTCCAAATTAACCACCTGTGGGAAGGTCTTTCGATTGGCTTACATCCTGTCCCTGAGCAAAGTGTCTGATCATGAGTTCATGAGTGCCTCAAACCCCACAACTACTGATGAAGGCTTCACCCACTGACAGTGAGAAGGACGCTGATTTGATTCTGATCATGAAGTTTTGCTGGTTGTCTTGCAAGGAATACGTTTTATCCTGTTATGTTGTCATCTAAAGCCAATGATTGTAACCTCTGTCTTGTCCCGTCCAATGGAAAAAAACAAAAACAAAAACTCAATTCTATTTGAGCCTTGCCAGGTCAATAAGACAAAAGAAAATTTAAAAACAAACTGATAGGAGGAGTCCCATTCCCTTCTTTTAACCTTTCTTACAAAAGCATTCCAACTTGTAACAGACTTTGGAAAACACCCACTTTGTCAGTGTGTGTCTTCCAGGTCAATCCTCACATTTAGCTTCCAGTGAAGCTTTCGTTAATTATTTCTACCTCAACAGCCTTATCTTCTATTGACACAAGGTTGTATGGTAATGGTTTGAATTGGGGTGGGAAGAAAAAATATTTCTATGTCTTTTATAAAGTAATCCTTGCATGTCATCTCCATAGAAGAATGAGTAGGTTCCTCTCCAAATATGTCCTGAGTATTGATGCACCCAATAAACAAAACTAATATTTATTTCATATACTAGAGCTATAGATGCATTCTATTTCCCTCTAGAATCTCCAATGAACCAATATCTAGTTTCAGTAAGTTTCTCTGATTATATGGCAGAGGGTAACATGGTCATGTTCTGATTCTGTGTCTATGTCGATAACTATAGCGTTCCAGCCTTCATAATATGCATCAAACCAGAGTTTATTCTAGTGTGAGTCTGGCACACCATCTAGATTAGACCCAGTTACACTAATGTTTTCTATGCATAGAGATAAGTTACCAGTAATGAAATCAATAATAGTCATAGACCACTCATTTGCACCTATAGCTTCTTCTCAATGCCAAGTCATTTAATTATCAATATTAACCAACCTACCAAAGGAAGGATAACAAATCTTATCATGAATTTAGCATCCTCAATTGCTACCCAACTGTGTACGAAAGCAGGTTGTAGTATTAAGTGTGATCCTTCCCTTTCATCTAAATGACTCCATAGCCAGCAATTGCTTTGGTTAGTGAGAGTGGCTACATTTTGAACAGAAGATCTTAGAAAGTGTTTGGTTTGAGTGGTGAAAGTACCTAACAACATAAAATATAGGTTTGATAATTTTGTGTTAATACAAAACAAAACCAAGTCTCAGTCAATGGAAGAAGATCAAATGGAGTCTTGTTCCATTGTCTTGGAAAAGCTGTCTACCAGGTGATGATGTGTGCTTCTAGGGAAGGCTTTTCCTCAGATATCCTTAAGTTTAAGTCATCTGGTACAGTCCCATCCAATGCTGTTCATGGGCAGATTTCCCTTGGT
Source organism: Homo sapiens (assembly GCF_000001405.40). Classification (NCBI taxonomy): domain Eukaryota; kingdom Metazoa; phylum Chordata; class Mammalia; order Primates; family Hominidae; genus Homo; species Homo sapiens. The sequence goes on along the minus strand of NW_015495298.1, from coordinate 60,800 downwards.
GTCATTTCTAAAGGATGCAATCTCCAAATGCTAGGGCATGAAGGTCTAAGCATCACTGAAAGCCTCCTTCACCTAGTGGAAATAGTCTTTCAAATACTGCATCAAGGTCTTGCAGTATTGATTCATATTGTTACTGAACGATGGGCTCACTCTTCTAAGTGCATAGAACCCAATACTATGACACCATGCTTGAGAAAAGTAAAAAAGATTCAACCAGGCATGGTGGCTCACGCCTATAATCCCAGCACTTTAGGAGGCTGAGGCAGGCAGATCCCAAGGTCAGAGGTTTGAGACCAACCTGGCCAACATGGAGAAACCCCCTTTCTGCTAAAAATACAAAAGTTAGCTCAGTGTGGTGACATGTGCCTGTAATCCCAGCTACTCAGGAGGCTGAGGCAGGAGAACCACTTGAACCCAGGATGCAGAAGTTGCAGTGAGCCAAGGTAGCACCATTGTACTCCAGCCTGGGCAACAGAGACTCTGTCTCTAAACAAAAAATAAAAAGAATGCAGTCTCCTTTATTGGTTCAGCTAATTTTAGTTTCAAGATACAGTTTGTTCACTCAACCTTTGTAGAATACGAAGGATAATGAAGTTAATATTAGTGCCATTGGATCAGTAAAATCTTACCTGTGTGATAACCTGCCCAGTAACTGAGTTCTCCTCCCATTGGAGATTTCTCCAGAGATGCTCCAGAAAGGAAGCAAATTTTATAATCATTTTTTTTGACTATGACTGTGGCATCAGCCTTTCTAAAAAGGTAATCTACAACCCATCCTGAAAACGGACACACAATCACAAGAATTGTAGCCTTTTTACATGGCTCACTGACATCATTGGTCCACGACAACCCCGTTTCTTGCAGCTATATGTGTGTATGTCTACCTATTCATATCTGTATCTATTTCCATTTATTACCATGATTCACTTCCACTCTCCTTTCCATAGACAGCCACTCTACTCTTTGACCTAGCCTTGAATTTGCTTGTGACCTCATGGAACATAAGTATATGGAAAGCATATAGACTATATACTTGCATTTTGTATGTGTATTTATTTAAATCCACATATATGTTATAGCGTATGGTGCTACAGAAGAGGACCTCACAATTAATTGTCCAGTCCCAGACACTTTGGAGAGAATAGACATGCTGTTATAATAATTATTATTATTTTTGGAGATAGTGTCTGGCTCTGTGGCCAGGCTGGAGTGCAATGGCATGATCTCGGCTCACTGCAACCTCTACCTCTTGGGTTCAAGTGCCTCTCCTGCCTCGGCCTCCTGAGTACCTGGGATTACAGGTGCCCGCCACCACGCCTGGCTCTTTTTTGTATTTTTAGTAGGAATGGAGTTTCTCCATGTTGGCCAGGCTTGTCTTGAACTCCTGACCTCAGCTGATCCACCCGCCTCAGCCTCCCAAAGTGCTGGGAATACAGGCCTGAGCCACTGCACTCGGCCTCTCATGTGCCTTTTTAAATTGATGGGAAAATGACACCCAGGATAATTTATGGCCATTGTGGGAATTATTGGAAATCTTTAAGACTGTTTTTCTTACAAAACCACAATTGTAGGATTAAACAGTCTGAATGGGATGCTAGCACGTAGAGCCTTCTAAACTCTCTTTCTCTTCTTTTTTTGGGGAATTTGGGATCTGCCTACTGATTACAATTAATTGGTTTTCTTAAAAAACTGTTTGGTTAAGATTTTTTTTTTTGACAAGGTCTCACTCTGTTGCCCAGGCTGGAGTACAGCAGTGGTGTGAACATGGCTCACTGCAGCCTCAATCTTCTGAGCTCAAGGGATTCTCCCACCTCAGCCACCCAAGTAGCTGGGACTACAGATCCATGCCACCATGCCCGGCTAATTTTTTAAAAAAGAAGCAGGGCGTTGGTGGCTCACTGGTGTAATCCCAGCACATTGGGAGGCCAAGGCAGGTGGATCACTTGAGGTTAGGAGTTCAAGACCAGCCTGGCCAACATGGTGAAACCCTGTTTCTACCAAAAATATAAAAATTAGCCAGGCATGGTGGCGGGTGGCTATAATCGCAGCTACTCAGGAGGCTGAGGCATGAGAATCGCTTGAGCCTGGGAGGCAGAGGTTGGAGTGAGTTGAGATCATGCCACTGCACTCCAGCCTGGGTAACAGAGCCAGATACCATCCCCACCCCTCAAAACAAATGTTTTGTAGAGATAGGGTTTTGCCATGTTGCCCAGGTTGGTCTCGAGCCCCTGGGCTCAAATGATCCTCCTGCCTTGGCCTCCCAAAGTGTTGGAATTGTAGGCATGAGTCACTGCTCCCACCAAGAATTTTTTTCTTTAAATTCCTGGTTTAATAAGGACTTGTTTATTTTGAGGAAAAAAGGTCCCAAACATGGAGCTGTTCACAAAAATAACCCACAGTATCAACTTTAGAAAACACATTTTAAGAGTATAACACTAATTATTTTTCTGAGGATGCATTTGACATGCCAACTCTCATTCACAAAAATACATTGTTAGATTTTTGTTGAACTGCCCCACACAGCACACTGACATGGGGTGTAACACACATACTTCTAACTCCAAGCTGCTTTCAGGAGCTACTCAACTCAATGAGATTGCCTTTGCAGTTAGGGAAGCAACTATTGAACTTATGTATAAATGAAAAGAACTGTATTCCCTGCATAACAAGAGATTATTTTGGAGACAGTTGATAAAAACCATACATCCTTTTTACTGTTAAGTCATAAGGAGGTATCTAAATTAAAAGCAAAAATTGCAGGGTAAGACTTAAGAAAACTTCTAGGAGCATCAAGGGAAGTGAAAATGGAACTAGGTGCAGGGCAATATGAATTAATGAATGTGGGAAGGACAAGGATGGGGAGAACAGTAAGCATGTGCTGAAGATGCTAAGGGAGAGGATCTGGTGAAAAATTTGATGTTAGACAAGCACCTAGGTAAAGAAACAATGGGATAAGATTTCTCAACCCCACTATGTGCTTAAGAGTCATCCTGGCCATTCGCCCTGTCTCTGTCATCCTCTCCTTCCTCAGCCCCTTTTTCATCATCCTTGATCAACTCCAGCTGGTTGTCCCCCTGATCTTCATTATCATCATCACACAGTAGGTCCCCCTCCTCAACAGAGTCATCTGCACCCCCCTCAGACTCCATCTTCACGTGAGTCTTATCCTTCTTCGAGGAGCTGCTGGTCTGCTCCTCTTCAGACTTAGCATTCTTTACCTCTACTCCTTGCTTGCAATGTTCCTTTTCAATTTTTTCCAGGTTTTCCAGGAGAGAATCCACTTTCTGTTTTATCTGGGTCAACTCCTGCTTAATGGCCTGAAGGTCATCTCCTTTCAGCTTTCCAGACTTGGAAGATCCCCGCTTTCCACTCTTAGAATTGAAGCCACTTTTGCCCCTTCGTGAGGTGTTTCCTGATATGCGCTGGCGTTTCGAGGGCACTACAGCCAGAGCAATGGGAGGAGGAGGAGGTACACGTGCTGGGAAACTGTACATCCCACCATAATAATCCCGTTGCAAGTTATAGTCCAAGTCAAAAGAGGAGCCGTACATCTCTGCTGCTGATCGTTTCACACCTGCGTTTCCTCGGTTCACTTTTGGCTCTGCAGCCAGGTTAATATCTACAACCTGGCTAGCAATCATTCTGCCATCCTCTCCTGCTACAGCAGCCCGGGCATTTTTCTCCTTATCATATTGAACGAAGGCAAAGCCCTTATGAACAGAGCAGCCCGCAATTTTGCCATACTTGGAAAAGATCGCCTCCACATCCGATTTCTTGACAACAAGAGTGTTGAGATTCCCAATGAACACACGGGAGTTCATGGAGTGAGGATCCATCTTGTTGGTAACGTTGCTGGCCATTGTGTTGGATGATAAGGTTTCTCAAAAAGCCAAAAACAGGAGGCGGGAGGGAGAAGAGATTCGATTCTAAGTCTCCTACTGCCGGGTTCTACGTGGAGAAGCTGACTGCGGCTCGAGGCCAGAAATGCAGCCAAACCAGCTCAGTCTTCGTCTCTTCACAAAATGGCTCCCAACAAGAATTCTGAAATGACGTAAAGAAAAGCACAATCAACATTTTTGAAATAAAGACAAAACTGCATTTAGAAAAAAAAATCAAAGCTTCAAAGTGTTCATATGAAAAAAAGAAAAAAAAGACAGGATATAGCTCTGCTCTGTCGTAGGCTGCACTGTCACCATGCTACATCGGCTGACTGTAGGTCCCATGGGAGTGTCCTTACAGAAATTAGTGACTTACCAGATCTGGGCTCAGTTTGCAGGGTGTTCAGACCTCAGGAAGAACCAAGCAGGAACTCCAGGCTTGAAGACTTTGGGTCTCTCCTGTGGGTCTTTAGAAGCTTTTATTGACCTTTCTAATCACAACTCCCACCCACGCCCTTCCATGTATGCACTGCTAGCTTCCAATCAAAAAGCAATATCTCATTGCATTTCTGAAGTTCCACCCAGCTAATCCTGATTGGGTTTTTGGCTTTCCCCAGATTAATGGATTGAACCAAATATCCATTCATATCACATACCCATATTCATTTCATGAATCAAGAAATTGACAGCATTAGGGATAGAGTGGAAATCAAGAATTCATTCATTTAAGGCCAGCTGAGTTGGCTCATGCCTGTAATCCCAGCACTTTGGGAGGCCAAGACAGGCGGATCACCTGAGGTCAGGAGTTCAAGACAAGCTTGACCAATATGGTGAAACCCTGTCTCTACAAAAATACAAAATTAGCCGGGCATGATGGCGGCTGCCTGTAATCCGGATACTTGGGAGGCTGAGGTGGGAGAATTGCTTGAACCCAGGAGGCTGAGGTTGCAGTGAACCGAGATTGCACACTGCCCTCCAGACTGGGTGACAGAGGGAGACTCTGTCAACAACAACAACAACAACAACAACAACAACAGAATGCCTTCATTCACGAACTCCACAAGCACTGATGGAATTTTACTGATATGTCACCTTCATAGCCCTGGGTGTGAGGCAGGGAAGGGGTTGATCTGTTCTGGACATTAGACAGAAAAATAAAACCTGAGAATAGTGTTGTTGGGAGATCTTTGGCCACATCAATATTTTAAAAATGCTTTATAGTTAAAATAGCTTCCTGACCTTCCTTAACCTGAACTGCTTGGTTCCCTAGAAGCAGAAATTGATCATATTAGAACCCAAACTCATACCAACCTTGACCTTCATGAAGTACTCAAGTGTTTCTGCTCTTCTTCCTCATGTGATGTAGAAAGTATTAAAAGTGATGAGTTTAGGCCGGGCACGGTGGTTCACGCCTGTAATCTCAGCACTTTCAGAGGCCGAGGTGGGTGCATCACCTGTGGTCAGGAGTTCCAGACCAGCCTGGGCAACATGGTGAAACTCTGTCTCTACTAAAAATACAAAAACTAGTTGTGTGTGGTGGCCTGTGCCTGTAATTCCAGCTAACTGGGAGACTGAGGCAGGAGAATCACTTGAACCGGGAGGCAGAGGTTGCAGTGAGGCGAGATCGCACCATTGCACTCCAGCCTGGAAAGCAAGAGTGAAACTCCATCTCAAAAAAAAATTAATAAATAAATACATTATAAATAAATAAATTAATTAATGCTTTAAAGAAAAAAGAAATAAACTTTGCCTACAAATTTCATATGCAATTGAATACCTCTTAAATTTTGATGTGAACCGACCAGGCATGGTGGCTGAGGCCTGTAATCCCAGCACTTTGGGAGGCCGAGGCGGGCAGACCACGAAGTCAGGAGATTGAGACCATCCTAGTTAACATGGTGAAACCCCGTCTTTACTAAAAATACAAAAAATTAGCCAGGTGTAGTGGCATGCACCTGTAGTCCCGGCTATTTAGGAGGCTAAGGCAGGAAAATTGCTTGAACCGGGGAGGCAGAGGTCGAAGTGAGCTGAGATCGTGCCACTGCATTCCAGCCTGGTGACGGAGCGAGACTCCATCTCAAAAAATAAATGAATAAAATAAATAAATCAATAAAAATATTGTGACAGGAACCAACATTGCTCAACTTGTACACTAATGTCTTACAAAATCCTTTCCTTGTCACCTTCAAATCTCCATTTCAAATGCTACACTCTGCATAACTCTACCACTTTGTTGCCATTTTCTGATGATGGAGAAGACCATACGTGTGTGTGTGTGGCATCAGAACTATTGACTCCTCCTATTGATGTTTAAGATATTCCATTACACAAACCTGGGCTCATACTTTTTGTTGTTAGATCTTATGCCAAAAATGTAGGCAAAAAATGCCAAGCAGGAAATGCTATCACTTCTGAAGATGAATTCATAGAGATGGAAATTCTTTCAGAATTTATTTTTCCAGCTTTTTTCTTTGTTTGTTTGTTCGTTTGTGTTTGTTTGTTTTGAGACGGAGTCTCGCTCTGTCACCAAGTTGGAGTGCAGTGGTGAAATCTTGGCTGACTGCAACCTCCTCCTCCTGAGTTCAAGCGACTCTCATGCCTCAGTCTCTCGAGTAGCTAGTACTATGGGTGGGCGCCACCATGCTCAGCTAATTTTTGTATTTTTAGCAGAGACAGGGTTTCACCATGTCGGCTAGGATGGTCTCAATTTTTTGGCATCGTGATCTACCTGCCTTGGCCTCCTGAAGTGCTGGGATTAGAGGTGTGAGCCACCACCGTGCCCGGCCTTTTTTTTTTTTTTTCCTTTTGAGATGGAGTCTCACTCTATTGCCCAGGCTGGGAATGGGACTCCTCCTATCAATTATTTTTTTAAATTTTCTTTTGTTTTATAGACCTGACAAGGCTCAAATAGAGTTGACTTTTTGTTTTTGTTTTTTCCATTGGAAGGGACAAACAGAGGTTACAATCATTGGCTTTAGATGACAAGATAAAAGAATAAAACATATTCCTTGCAAGACAACCAGCAGAACTTCATGATCAGCATCAAATCAGTGCCTTCTCACTGTCAGTGGGTGGAAGCCTTCATCAATACTTGTAGAGTTTGAAGCACTCATGAACTCATGATCAGACTCTTTACTCAGGGACAGGATGTAAGCCAAGCGAAAGACCTTCCATAGGTGGTGAATTTGGAAGCCTGCCCAATGTGACCTGCAAGTCTTGCTTCACTCCCAGGTTCCCATTAAAAACCCAGCTCAACCCTGACCAGCTCCACCCTCACTTCCATTTGTAATTTTGACATGACTTTATTAAAGGACCATCAGGTTCCTATGCCTGCTGCACAGTAGTTTAGCAATATTCTGAGACAGCAGGGTTTGCAGCAGAGAGTTTAATGATCACAAGGTGGCTGAATGAGAAGCTAGGAGGAGATCCTCAAATTCATCTCCCCAAGGAGTACTGAAGGTTTCCAGTGGATCCTGGATAGCAAGGGGCCAGAAAGTTGGGGTAGCGGTAAGAGGGAAGAAGTCAACAGGATGTAGAAACTGCATTCTTTGGTGAGTTGGTGCATTGCATGGCCCTTCAGATCAGCTGGCATCAGCAGTTTCACTGACATGCAGAACCTGAAAGAATATCTCAGATGAAAAAGTTAATGTTTTACAATGCTTAAATGGTTGTCTGCAGGGAAGTTAAGGGGAACTGTAATCTAAGGTCTATATGATTTTGGAACAGTAGGTTGCGGCAACCATGAGGAACCAGGTCAGAGAGCAAGAAGACCTCCTGATGAATGCTGAATGTGTTGCAAGCTTGGTTTATTTTTGTTTCTCTCCCTCCCTTCTTCACTGATTAAATTTATAAATTTTAGAGATGTGGTTTCAATTTCTTCCAAAGAAGCCTTAACCTAAGCCCTGAGACCACTCACGCCCTCAGTGGCACCTCTCCTCCACCAGAACGAGCATGTAATCTGCTACCTTAGGTTATACAAAATCCCAAAGACCATTCAGTACATTGAGATTTTTATTCTGATTTCGTAGGGACGACTCCTCTGTTTTTAAAAAGTTTTAAAGTAGAAAGCATTTTTATATTTTGATGTGGCCAAAGATCTCCTAACAACACTACTTTCAGATTTTATTTTTCTGTCTAATGTCGTAAACAGATCAAATCCTTCCCTGCCTCACACTCAAGACTATGAAGTTCACATATTAATAAAAAAAAATCAGTGTTTGTGGAGTTCATGAATGAATGATTTTTTTATTTTTTGACAGAATCTCCCTCTGTCACCCAGACTGGAGTGCAGTGGCACAATTCTGGCTCACTGCAACCATTGCCTCCTGGGTTCAAGCAATTCTCCTGCCTCAGCCTCCTGAGTCGCTGTGTTTCAGGCACCTGCCATCATGCCGGGCTAATTTTTGTATTTTTGTATTTTTGTGGAGACGGGGTTTCACCTTTTTGACCTGACTGGTCTTGAACCCCTGACATCAGGTGATCTACTCACCTTGTCCTTCCAAAGTGCTGGAATTACAGGTATGAGCCACCTTGCCCACCAGTGAATCAATGTATTCTTGACTTCTACCTTATCCCTAACACTGTCAATTTCTTGCTTCACGAACTGAATATAGATATGTGATATGAATGGATATCTGACTCAATCCATTAATCTGGGGAGAGCCAAAAACCCAATCAGGATTAACTGGGTGGAGCTTCAGAAATGCAATCAGATATGGCTTTTTGATTGGAAGCTAGCAGTGCACACGTGGAAGGGCGTGGGTGGGAGTTGTGATTAGAAAGGTCAATAAAAGCTTCTAAAGACCCACAGGAGAGACCCAAAGTCTTCAAGCCTGGAGTTCCTGCCTGGTTCTTCCTGAGGTCTGAGCACCTTCTAAACTACATCCAGATCTGGTAAGTCACTAATTTCTGTAAGGACACTCCCATCTGACCTAGAGTCAGTCAGTCTGGGATGGTGACAGTGCAGCCTACGATGGCACAGAGCTATATCCTGTCCTTTTTTATATATATATATGAACAATTTGAAGCTTTGAATTTTTTCCTCTAAATGCAGTTCTGTCTTTATTTCAAAAAAGTTGATTGTGCTTTGGTTGATGCCATTTTAAAATTCTTGAAGGGAGCAGTGACTCACGCCTTTAACCCCAACACTTTGGGAGGCCAAAGTGGGAGGATCATTTCAGCCCAGGGGTTTGAGACCAACCTGGGCAACATGACAAAAACCCTCCTCTACACAACGTTTTTTTTGAGGGTGGAGATGGAGTCTCACTGTGTTGCCCAGACTGGAGTGCAGTGGCACGATCTCAACTCCCTGCAACCTTTAACTCCTGGGTTCAAGCAATTCTCATGCCTCAGTCTCCATCCTCAGAAGCTGGTGTCACAGACATCTGAAACCATGCCTGGCTAATTTTTGTATTTTTAGTAGAGGTGGGGTTTCACCACGCTGGCCAGGTTGGTCTCGAACACCTGACCTCAAGTGATCCACCTGCCTTGGCCTCCCAAAGTGCTGGGATTACAGCTGTGAGTCACCATGCATCTGTAGTCCCAGCTATTTGGGTGGCTGGTGTGGGAGAATCACTTGAGTCCAGAAGATTGAGGCTGCAGTGAGCTATGCTCACACCACTGCTGTACTCCAGCCTGGGCAAAAGAGAGACACTCTGTCCAAAAACAAAAACAAAATCAATCAAAAAGGATCTTTGACCTTAATTTTAAACCAATCACATCCTCTTCCACCCAAATGGAGACATGGCTGTGGGGGGTGCCTGCCTGTAGTCCCAGCTACGTGGAAGGCTGAAGCATGCGAATTGCTTGAATCTTGGAGGCAATCTTGGAGGTAACAGTGAGCCAAGATGGTGCCACTGCACTCCAGCCTGGGCGACGAAGTGAGACTCAGCTCCCTCAGCACCAAAAAAAATTATATGACCCAGGTGATCATCGGATACATGAAGATTTCTATTGTGTTTTCTTAGGGACTGTCATCTCTGTCTTTGAAAACTGTTTTAACTCTGAAATATTTTGATAAATTTGATGTGGCCAAGGATCCCTCAACAAAGATACTTTCAAGTTTTCTTTCTTTCTGTCTAATATCAGGAAGAGATTCAACCCTTCCCTGTCTCACACTCAGGACTTTGAAGGACACATATTAGTGGAAGTCCATGTTTGTGAAGGGAATCGGTGAATGAGTCCTGGACTTTCACCCTATCCCTAAATCTTTCATTTTGATGGATTAATATCTAATTCGATCAGTTATTCTTTAAGAAAGCCAAAAATCCAATAAGGATTAACTGGGTAGAGATTAAGAAGTCTAGTCAAATGTAGCTCTCTCTGTCTCTCAGTTCAATCTAGCCTATTCCCCAGGCTGGAGTGGAGTAGTATAATGTCAGCTCACTGCAACTTCTGCCTCCTGGGTTCAAGTGATCCTCCTACCTCAGCCTCCCTAGTAGCTTGGACTACAGGCGCAGACCACTGCACCTGGCTAATTTTTGCTGTCTTAGTAGAGGCAGGGTTTTACCATGTTGGCCAGGCTCGTCTTGAACTCCTGATCTCAGATGATCCACCTGCCTCGGCCTCACAAAATGCTCAGATTACAGGTGTGAGTCACTGCACCCAGCCAAAGTGGTTCAGTTTGAATATGTGTAAGAGGTGTGCATTGGAAACATCTATCTTGAGAATGATGCATAACAGTGTCACATAGCTTTCAAAGCTTCTCACTGAAATTTTCAATAACGAGGCTGGGGCAGAGGCTCACACCTATAATCCCAGTATGTTGGGAGGCCAAGAGGGGTAGATTGCTTGAGACTAGGAGTTCAAGACCAGCTTGGACAACATAGCGAAATCCACTGTCTTTACAAAAAGTCAAAACATAAAAGATGAGCTGGGTGTGGTGATGCATAACTGTGGTCCCAGCTACTTGGGAGGCTGAGGGGGAAGAATCCTTTGAGCTGGGAGGTCAAGGCTGCACTGAGCTGAGATCCCACCACTACACTCCAGGCTGGGTGACAGAGCAAGACCCTGTCAGAAAGAGTGAGAGAGGGAGAGAGAGAAAGAGAGAGAGAATGAGAGAAGGGATGCAGGGAAAGAAGACAAGAAAGAAAGAAGGGAGAGAGAGGGGGAAAGAAAGAAAGAAGGGAGGGAGAGAGGGAAAGAAGGAAAGAAGAAAGAGAGAGAAAGAGAAAGCAAGCTTAAATAATGAAAAGAAAACAAATAGAACCTGTTCTAGGGATGTCCCATGAATGTTCCCAACAAACTTATTTGTAGGAACTGAAAATGTGGGCATGTAGGCTTGTGACACTCCCATTCCCATTGTTTTAGAACCTTGAGTAATCAGTAATTTCCCCCAATGGTAGGAGGGGTTCACTTTCAGGTTCCTCCACACTCACTAGTCACTGGATGGAGCACTGGATAGAAAGGAAGGGCTCGTGGTGACCCTGCTTCCTCACTGCTTCGGAGACGCTCATGCTGATGCAGCAGAGGCACAATGCTGGCTTAATGGCCACTGAGTACAGGGCAGAATTGGAGTAAACTGAGGGCTGTTTCACCATTGCCAGAGCAGTGAGTTTGGCCATAGGAGAAGATGAGATTGCATGGGCTTGGCCTGAGAGTGATGCCTTTTCTCTGGGTTTGTCCTCTGGAAGTTTTCCCTGCAGATTCATGAAGATGAGCATCCGGACTCCACCCAGACTCCTGGAGCTTGCGGGGCGGAGCCTGCTGAGGGACCAAGCCTTGGCCATGTCCACCCTGGAGGAGCTGCCCACAGAACTTTTCCCCCCACTGTTCATGGAGGCCTTCAGCAGGAGATGCTGTGAGGCCCTGAAGCTGATGGTGCAGGCCTGGCCCTTCCGCCGCCTCCCTCTGAGGCCTCTGATAAAGATGCCTTGTCTGGAGGCCTTCCAAGCTGTGCTCGATGGGCTTGATGCACTGCTTACCCAAGGGGTTTGTCCCAGGTGAGGTGGCCCAGGTGGGCTGGTGGGGAGGGCCCAGGTGTCCAACTGAAGGAACAGCTGGGTCATGTGAAGTGAGGAGGCCCAAGGGGGATGGTGGTGGTGAGGAAGCCGAGAGGACTTGGCCATTCACCAGCTCCTCAGGGAAAGCACTGCTCACCACGCAAGGTCCATGGAGGTAACAGGAACCTCTCCTCTAATGGCACTGAAAGGCACCATGAAAAGTGAGAACTGGGCCGGGCACGGTGGCTCACAATGTAATCCCAGCACATTGGGAGGCTGAGGTCAAGAGTTGGAGGCCAGCCTGTCCAACATGGTAAACCCCAACTCTACTAAAAATACTAAAATTAGCTGGGCATGGTGGTGGGCTCCTGTAATCCCAGCTACTTGTGAGGTTGAGGCAGGAGAATCATTTGAACCCAGGAAGCAGAGGTTGCAGTGAGGTGACATCACACCACTGCACTCTAGCCTGGGCGACAGAGGGAGACTTGGTCTCAAAAAAAAAAACAAAAAAATGTGGAAGTGGGTAGGATCCAAGGGGAGAACAGAGTGAAGAAAAGTCAGAGAGAGGGACAAGAAGCAGGGAGGGGAGGAGCTGCTATCCAGGATGTGGAGTTTAAATTCAGAAATGAGTTCTTAAATTCTCAGTCTCACCTCTATTTTCCCACAGGAGGTGGAAACTTCAAGTGCTGGATTTACAGGATGTCTGTGAGAACTTCTGGATGGTTTGGTCTGAAGCTATGGCCCGTGGGTCCTTCCTCAATGCCAAGAGGAACAAAACACCAGTGCAGGACTGTCCAAGGATGAGAGGACAGCAGCCCTTGACTGTGTTCGTAGAACTTTGGCTCAAGAACAGGACTCTGGATGAATACCTCACCTACCTCCTTCTATGGGTCAAGCAGAGGAAAGATTTACTACACCTGTGCTGTAAGAAGCTGAAAATTTTGGGAATGCCCTTCCGCAATATCAGAAGCATCCTGAAAATGGTGAACCTAGACTGTATCCAGGAGGTGGAAGTGAATTGCAAGTGGGTACTGCCCATCCTGACACAGTTTACCCCATACCTGGGCCACATGAGGAATCTTCAGAAGCTCGTTCTCTCTCACATGGATGTCTCTCGCTACGTTTCCCCAGAGCAGAAGAAGGAGATTGTTACCCAGTTCACCACTCAGTTCCTCAAGCTGCACTGCCTCCAAAAGCTTTATATGAACTCTGTTTCTTTCCTCGAAGGCCACCTGGACCAGCTGCTCAGGTGAGGGAGGGTGGTGAGCTTTCTCTGCAGACCACAGCAGAGCCTGTTTCACTAAACGCTAGTGGGCATCTACTGTGAGCCAGCCTATGAGGATGTAACAGTGAAGGGGACACTAGAATGTCCATACATTGTCCTGTTGGCGGCCCTGTCCTGAAATGGGTATCATGCAACCATCCCAATAGAGGCAGAGGGATCAGCTAGGGGAGATGCTATAGAGAGGTTGTCATACTAGGAAGCTAGCTACTGGGGGGTTCAGATCTAGTGAGGGTGCCTTTCTGAATTCTTCCTGAGGACGTGTGTCTAAGTTAAGATGATGAAAAATAGGCCAGGGGCGGTGGCTCATGCCTGTAATCCTATCACTTTGGGAGTCTGAGGCAAGAGGATAGCTTGAGCCTAGGAGTTTAAGACCAGTCTGGGTAACATCCCAAGACCCCTGTCAGAAGTGAAGAAATAAAAGTAAAAACAAACAAGATAACTTTTTTTTTTTCTGAGATGAATTTTCACTTTGATCATCCAGGGTAAAGTGCACTTGTGACATCTCAGCTCGCAGCAACTTCTGCCTCCCAGGTTCAAGCGATTCTCCTGCCTCAGCCTCTTGAGTGCCTGGGATTACAGGCATGAGTCAGCACACCTGGCTAATTTTTATATTTTAAGTAGAGACAGGGTTTCACCATGTTGGCCAGGATATTCTCCAACTCCTGACTTCAGGTGATCCGCCCACCTTGGACTCCCAAAGTGCTGGGATTATAGGCGAGAGCTACCACGCCCAGCCAACAAGATAATTTTTAAGCAGATGATGTAAAGTAGGGAAGTGAAGTGGGCACTGAAGAGGGGAATGCTCAGCAAACCTGCACATGTCAGAAAATCAGCTTTGTGCCCCATAGTTTGGTGAACATGAATGATCCCATCTCTAATTCCCTGTTGTAAAAGTGTTTTGAGCTCCAGGTAAATTAATTACCTAGGCAATGCATGATTCTGAAACAGAGGGTCAGGGAGCAGGCACAAAGAATGGTGAAAGTGATAGATGGTTTGCTGATGATACAGGCATGGCAGGGACGCCTACAGCCCGCCCACCCCAGCTGATGTTGCAGGATCCTGTCTGGGTTTGTCCTTTATGCCTGAATCTCCACTGGGCTTCTGTGGCCCAGGGATGTGGTTTTCTGCCTGACAGATGAGGAAAGGGAGCTTTAGGGATTCTGTGAACTTGATCCATTCCTATAAATGATGGTGAAATGACTCAGCCTCAAATGGAATTATTTTTTTTCCTTCTTTTTTTTTAATACAGAGTCTCTCTCTGTCACCCAGGCTGGAGTGTAGTGGCATGATCTCTGCTCACTGCAACCTACACCTCCTGGGTTCAAACGATTCTTCTGCCTCAGCTTCCCAAGTAGCTGGAATTGCAGGCTCCCCCCACCACACCTGGCTAATTTTTGGATTTTTAGTAGAGAGGAGGTTTTGCCATGTTCAGCAGGCTGGTCTCAAACTCCTGATCTCAAGGAATCCACCAGTCTCAGCCTCCCAAAGTTCTGGGATTACAGGTGTGAGTTACTGGGCCGGCTCTAAGGTGGAATTGACCTCGGTGGCAAAGCTCTTCATCACACATCATTCTAAGTGTTGACCATCAGGCCATCAGAATGACCCTGGACTTGGGCAAAATGGTCTCCATCCATTACCTTGAAGCCATTCCCCACCACCCTCCACTCACCCCTATGATTCCCCAGAATTAACTTCTTGCTCTCTCTCCCCAGCTGTCTGAAGACCTCGTTAAAGGTCCTCACAATAACTAACTGTGTGCTTTTGGAATCAGACTTGAAGCATCTATCCCAGTGCCCGAGTATCAGTCAACTAAAGACCCTGGACCTGAGTGGCATCAGACTGACCAATTACAGTCTTGTGCCTCTCCAAATTCTCCTAGAAAAAGTTGCAGCCACCCTTGAGTACTTGGATTTAGATGACTGTGGCATCATAGACTCCCAAGTCAACGCCATCCTGCCTGCCCTGAGCCGCTGCTTTGAGCTCAATGCCTTCAGCTTCTGTGGAAATCCCATCTCCATGGCCACCCTGGAGAACCTGCTGAGCCACACAATCATACTCAAAAACTTATGCGTGGAGGTGTATCCTGCCCCGCGGGAGAGTTATGGTGCTGATGGTACTCTCTGCTGGAACAGATTTGCTCAAATTAGGGCTGAGCTGATGAACAGAGTGAGGGACTTAAGGCACCCCAAGAGGATCTTTTTCTGTATTGATAACTGCCCTGACTGTGGCAACAGGTCATTTTATGACCTGGAGGCAGATCAATACTGCTGTTGAATGCCTGCCTATTTGGATGGGTATGTCAAACGCTTTCTTCTGGACACTTGGAAACTAAAACCTAGGTCTTAGGTACATCCTAAAGGGAGCACAGAACCCATCATTTCACACATAGGCTCTGAAAGTGGGAAAGGAAAGCTGATCAAGCAGGGGCAGGACTTGGGGGAAATGTTGCCATGGATTCGATGGGACTTTGGGGACCTGTATCCTGTAGAGTCGAAAATGGGAATCTGAATGTCTAGAGTGGAGTTCAGGCTTGAGAATACATGAGGGAGTTACTCTTGCATGGATGGTTGTAAAGAAACAATCAGAAATAAAGGAAAACTGAGCAGAATCTGTCTGGTGCCCTCTATTATTAAGTAACCTGTTTTCCAGTTTAAGCCTCAGGAATCTTCAGTTATTGATGGAAAAAACAAAAGGCACTGACTGAGTTGTCCAATCAATAAGATGCAGCCCAAGAAAATCAAGGCATTTAAATGAAATTTGGTTATTGTAATCAGTTTCCTCCCATTCTTTTATTGGAGACAGAGTTTCACTCTTGTTGCCCAGGCTGGAGTTTAGAGTGCAATGGTGCCATCTGAGCTGACTGCAACCTCCACCTGGGGTTTAAATGATTCTTCTGCCTCAGCCTCCCAAGTAGCTGGGATTACAAGCATGCACCACCATGCCCAGCTAATTTGTGTATGTTTAGTAGAGACAGGGTTTCCTCACTATGTTGGTCAGGCTGGTCTCAAACTCCTGACTTTGGGTGATTCAAGCAAGTAGGCCTACCAAAGTGCTGGGGTTACAGGTGTGAGCCACTGTGTCAGGCTTTTTTTTGTTTTTGTTTTTTAAAGGTCTCCTGTCACTCAGGCTAGAGTGCAGTGGCACAATCATACCTCACTGCAACCTAAATTTCCTGGGTTCAAGTGATCCTCCCACCTCAGCCTCCTGAGTAGCTAGGACTACAGCTGTGTGAGCCACCACACCTGGATACTTCTTTTTAGTAGAGACAAGGCCTCGCTGTCTTCCCCAGGCTGATCTGGAACTCCTGAGCTTGTGATTCTCCTGCCTTGGCCTCCCAAAATGCAGGGAGTATAGGCGTGGACCACCACGCTTGGGTTGGCCTCCTCTAGTTCTTCACTTCTTTAGATGTCTGTTAACTCCTTGTTAGTTTCTGTGGCTGTTCAGTGGGTTAATACACACTAGGTGGACACCAAAGGCCTGGAACATTACTGGGCAAGAACAGTGAGCCAATCCACACGGACAGCACCTTCTTCTCAGGGTCTTTCACCGCTAGCCAGATGCTGAGACCCTGCCCACTCCCTGTGAGTCTCCACATGCTTCCAGAAGCCTTATTTGGTGGATGTCAGCTTCACTGCACAAGGACCCACTCTCTTCCCACTGCCCTGGAAGGGGATGTCCATATTGTGTATTAGCTGGAGACTCTGGGCAGCATCAACCCTTGCTTGTTCTCCTGATGACCAGCAGCCCTTCTTGAATTAAACTGGTTGTAGCCAGTAAAGACAGCCACATTCCCTTTAAGTAAAATACTAAAACTATACAGGCATGTAACACTTTTTAAATATTTCCATCTGACATTTTAAAAGTTACATCTTTTTGGGGAGCTAGGTCAGATTGATGAGAGATTTTCTCATAACACCTCCCCTCTCTCCCTATGAAGGAAGAGACTAGTACTAGTGCAGCGTGTTCTGGAATCTGACAGCATCAAAGGGTGGATAACGATCAAGGGCCTGTGGGTGATGAGTGACCTTCCCTGTGCTGAGGAATTCTGCATAATGGGCACCCAAGTGAAGGATCCTGCTGAGTACTCAGGGGCTGGTGTTGCTGTCAGGGATGTTAGCCTAGAGCCTCAGCTTCCTGTAAAATGAGGATGATGATGTCCAACAGCTTATGGGACCTTGGTAGGATCCAATGAGATGGTTCATGTTTAGGGCTTGGCATGGGGTCTGGCATACAGTAAGATCAATACATCTTGTTCTTTTTTCTCTTCTCAGCAGAAGTCCCAGCACTTTTCATCTTTCAATCTCACCTCCTTTTCCTGATAATAGAGAGGCAACAAGAACTCAGGGCATGCAATGGGGCTCAACTTCTACTCTCTGCCACAATTTCATCATGATTCCCCCAAAGAGCAGAGCCCCAGGAGCCAGCAGGGGGCAGGGTGGGCATTTCTGGACTGGATTCATTCATAATAAGATCAAAATTTCCAATCCGTATGTCTCGGGTGCCATCTGCTGATAGATCCGACCAGATGGTATAATTGAGTGTTGCAAGGATTATATTTTATGGTGTTTTCAAAAATGTACTATTATGAGCCAGGTGCAGTGGCTCACGCCTGTAATTCCAGCACTTTGGGAGGCTGAGGCAGGTGGATCACCTGAGGTTGGGAGTTTGAGACCAGCCTGAGCAACATGAAGAAACCCCTTCTCTACTTAAAATACAAAAAATTAGCCAGGCGTGGTGGCGCACGTCTGTAATTGCAGCTACTCGATAGGCTGAGGCGGGAGAATCATTTGAATCTGGAGGTGGAGGTTGTGGTGAGCTCAGACTGAGCCATTGCACTCCAGCCTGGGCAACCCTAGCAAAACTCCATCTCAAAAAAAAAGATAAAATAAAATTTATTATTATGGCCGGGCATGGTGTCTCACACTTCTAATCCCACCACTTTGGGAGGCCAAGGCAGCCTCAGGATTTTGAGACCAGCCTGGCCAACATGGTGAAACCCCATCTCTACTAAAAATACACAAAATTTGCTGGGAGTGGTGGCATTCGCCTGTAATCCCAGGTATTCAGGAGGCTGAGGCAGGACAATCACTTGAACCCGGGAGGTGAGGGTTGCAATGAGACGAGATTGCACCACTTCACTCCAGCCTGGGCGACAGAGCATGAAAAAAAATTTACTATAATGTGAATACTATTAGAGTATAAATATTTGTGTTGTAATTTATGTATATGAAAGATTAGAACTTTTAAAGAATGCAACGTGATATTTCAAGAATGGTTAATGGCCAGGTGTGGTGGTTCATGCCTGTATTCCTGGCACTTTGGGAGGCCGAGGTGGGCAGATCACGAGGTCAGGAGTTCCAGACCAGCCTGGCCAACATGATGAAACCCGGTCTCTACGAAAAATACAAAAAATTAGCCTGGCGTGGTGACAGGTGCCTGTAATCCCAGATAGTCAGGAGGCTGAGGCAAGAGAATCGCTTGAACCTGCGAGGCAAAGGTTGCAGTGAGCCAAGAATGCACCACTGCACTCCAGCCTGGGTGAAAGAGGAAGACTCCGTCTCAAGGAGGGTGAGAAAAAGAATACTTAACTTGGTTTGAAATGTCAAAACAAATGAGATTTTAAAAACTAATTTTAAAGACACTGAACAATAATCATTTCTTCTTTAAAATATATTTAGAATAATACAATTTTAGCTTTGAAAGGAAACATTACAGTTTTAAAAAATATTGAGTTTATTTTATTTTATTTTATTTTATTTTATTTTATTTTATTTGGAGACAAAGTCTCACTCTGTTGTCCAGATTGGAGTGCAGTGGCATGATCACGGCTTACTGCAGCCTTGACCTCCTAGGCTCAGGTGATCTCCCTGCCTCAGTCCCCCTAGTAGCTGGAACAACAGGCATGCACCATCATGCCTGACTTATTTTTGTATTCTTAGTGAAGACCAGGCTTCAACATGTTGCCCAGACTGGTCTTGAAATTCTGGGCTCAAGCGATCCACCTGCCTCGGCCTCCTAAATTGCTGGGAGTGAGCTCTTATAGGCATGAGCCACCGCACCCAGCCTTGAGTTTATTTATTTATTTATTTTGGAGATGGAGTCTCCTTCTGTCATCCGTGCTGGAGTGCAGAGGTACGATCTCTGTTCACTGCAACTTCTGCCTCCAGGGTCCCAGCAATGTTCCTGTCTCAGCCTCCAGAGTAGCTGGGATTACAGGCATGCAACACCACACCTGATTAATTTTTGTATTATTATTATTATTTTTTTTAGTAGAGACAGGGTTTTGTCATTTTAGCTAGGCTGGTCTGGAACCCCTGACCTCAGGTGATCCACCTGCCTCGGCTTCCCAAAATGCTACGACTATAGGCGTGAGCCACCACACCCAGCCTATTTTTTCCTTTACAGCAGTTTTAGATTCACAGAAAAACTAAGCAGAAACTGCAGAGTTCTCATCTACCTTCTTCCCCCTTCAATACACAGCACCCCCACAGGATCAGCACCCACACCAGCACAGAGCATTCATCACAACCAATGAGCCACAGGGACACATCATTATCACCCAATGTCCATAGTTCACATGAGGGATCATTGCTGGTTTTGTACATTCTATGGATTTTAACAAAGGGATAATGACATGTATCCACCATTAGAGCATCATGGACAGTAGTTTTCTTTCCCTAAAATTCCTCTGTCCTCTTCCCATTCATCCCATTGTGCTCCCAACCCCTTGCATCCACTGGGCTTTCTACTGTCTCCTTAGAAAAATGCAAAAGCTTTTTCTGGAATGTCTAACAGGATGAGTCTTTTCAGATTGCCTTCTTTCACTTGTACAATAACGTGCATTTAGGAATTTTTCATGTCTTTTTACAGCTTTATAATAGTTCACTGACTGGATGGATCAGTTTGCTTATCCAGTCACTGACCGAAGGGCAACTTGCTAGCTTCCAAGTTTTGGCGATTATGAGTAAGTTGCTGTAAACATCCAGGTGTGGGTTTACTCACTTCATTAAATATCCAGGAGCATGATTACGGAATTGTAGGGGTATGGTATGTTTTACAATTATTTCTTCTTTCTTGACAATCTCACTTGTTCGATATTGCTGCTAAAGGTCAGGAACTTTGTCTCCATCATCCTGTGTTCCCACTGCTGAGCATGGAACGTGGCACTTGGTAGCAAATGCTGTTGACCACGTGATGCATGGAAACGTTTATCATGGGTATAGTCACTAAATTGCTACCTTGGGGACATCAACATTAGCTCACTACCAATAATATAAATAAATTGGATTATGGAAAAAAATGGCCCTTGTGATACTGTGGATACTCCAGGTGTATCATGAACGTCCAGCAATTGACCAGGCACAGTGGCTCACATCTGTAATCCCAGCACTTGCAGAGACTGAGGTGGGTGGATCACTTCAGTCAGGAGTTCAAGACGACTCTGGCCAATATGATGAAACCCTGTCTCTATTAAAGACACAAAAATTAACTAGGGGGTTGAGCCAAGATGGCCAAATAGGAACAGCTCCAGTCTACAGCTCCCAGCCTGAGCGGTGCAGAAGACGGGTGATTTCTGCACTTCCAACTGAGGTACCAGGTTCTTCTCACTGGGGAGTGTCAGAAAGTGGGTGTAGGACAGTGGGTGCAGTGCACCGAGCATGAGCCAAAGCAGCATGAGGCATTGCCTCTCCTGGGAAGTGCAAGGAGTCAGGGAATTCCCTTTCCTAGTCAAAGAAAGGGGTGACAGATGGCACCTGTAAAATCCGGTCACTCCCACCCTAATACTGCGCTTTTCCAACAGTCTTAGCAAATGGCACACCAGGAGATTATATCCCGTGTCTGGCTCAAAAGGTCCTATGCCCACGGAGCCTCACTCATTGCTAGCACAGCAGTCTGAGATCAAACTGCAAGGCGGCAGCAAGGCTGGGGGAGGGGAGCCTGCCATTGTTGAGGCTTGAGTAGGTAAACAAAGCAGCCAGGAAGCTGGAACTGGGTGGAGCCCACTGCAGCTCAAGGAGGCCTGCCTGCCTCCACAGACTCCATTTCTGGGGGCAGGGCATTGCCAAACAAAAGGCAGCAGAATCCTCTGTAGACTTAAATGTCCCTGTCTGACAGCTTTGAAGAGAGTAGTGGTTCTCCCAGCACGCAGCTGGAGATCTGAGAATGGACAGACTGACTCCTCAAGTGGGTCTGTGACCCCTAAGTAGCCTAACTGGGAGGCACCCACCAGCAGGGGCAGACTGACACCTCACATGGCCAGGTACTCCTCTGAGACAAAACTTCCACAGGAACGATCGGGCAGCAACATTTGTTGTTCACCAATATCCACTGTTCTGCAGCCTCTGCTGCTGATACCCAGGCAAACAGCTTCTGGAGTGGACCTCCAGCAAACTCCAACAGACCTGCAGCTGAGGGTCCTGACTGTTAGAAGGAAAACTAACAAACAGAAAGGACATCCACACCAAAACCCAGTCTGTACATCAGCATCATCAAAGACCAAAGGTAGATAAAACCACAAAGATGGGGAAAAAACAGAGCAGAAAAACGGGAAACTCTAAAAATCAGAGTTCCTCTCCTCCTCCAAAGGAACGCAGCTCCTCACCAGCAATGGAACAAAGCTAGAGGGAGAAGGACTTTGATGAGTTGAGAGATGAAGGCTTCAGATGATCAAACGACTCTGAGCTAAAAGAGGAAGTTCGAACCCATGGCAAAGAAGTCAAAAACATTGAAAAAAAATTAGATGAATGGCTAACTAAAATAACCAATGCAGAGAAGTCCTTGAAGGACCTGATGGAGCTGAAAACCATGGCACGAGAACCACGTGACAAATGTACAAGCCTCAGTAGCTGATTCCATCAACTGGAAGAAAGGGTATCAGTGAGGGAAGATCAAACGAATGAAATGAAGCGAGAAGAGAAGTTCAGAGATAAAAGAATAAGAGGAAATGAACAAAGCCTCCAAGAAATATGGGACTATGTGAAAAGACCAAGTCTATGTCTGACAGGTGTACCTGAAAGTGATGGGGAGAATGGAACCAAGCTGGAAAACACTCTTCAGGATATTATCCAGCAGAACTTCCCCAATCTAGCAAGGCAGGCAAACATTCAAATTCAGGAAATACACAGAATGCCACAAAGATACTCCTTGAGAAGAGCGACTCCAAGACACATAATTGTCAGATTCGCCAAAGTTGAAATGAAGGAAAAAATGTTAAGGGCAACCAGAGAGAAAGGTCGGGTTACCCACAAAGGGAAGCCCATCAGACTGACAGCGGAGCTCTCAGCAGAAACTCTACAAGCTAGAAGAGAGTGGGGGCCTATATTCAACATTCTTAAGAAAAGAATTTTTGACCCAGAATTTCATATGCAACCAAACTAAGCTTCATAAGTGAAGGAGAAATAAATTCCTTTACAGACAAGCAAATGCTGAGAGATTTTGTCACCACCAGGCCTGCCCTAAAAGAGCTCCTGAAGGAAGCACTAAACATGGAAAGGAACAACTGGTACCAGCCACTTCAAAAACATGCCAAATTGGAAGGACCATCGATACTAGGAAGAAACTGCATCAACTAAAGAGCAAAATAACCAGCTAACATCATAATGACAGGATCAAATTCACACATAACAATATTAACCTTAAATGTAAATGGGCTAAATGCTCCAATTAAAAAACACAGACTGGCAAATTTCATAAAGAGTCAAGACCCATCAGTGTGCTGTATTCAGGAAACCCATCTCACATGCAGAGACACACATAGGCTCAAAATAAAGGGATGGAGGAAGATCTTCCAAGCAAATGGAAAACACAAAAAGGCAGGAGTTGCCATCCTAGTCTCGGATAAAACAGACTTTAAACCAACAAAGATCAAAAGAGACAAAGAAGGCCATTACATCATGGTAAAGGGATCCATTCAACAAGAAGAGCTAACTATCCTAAATATAGATGCACCCAATACAGGAGCACCCAGATTCATAAAGCAAGTCCTTAGAGACCTACAAAGAGACTTAGACTCCCACACAATAATAATGGGAGACTTCAACACCCCACTGTCAACATTAGACACATCAATGAGACAGAAAGTTAACAAGGATATACAGGAATTGAACTCAGCTCTGCGCCAAGCGGACCTAATAGACATCTACAGAACTCACCATCCAAAATCAACAGAATATACATTCTTCTCAGCACCACACTGCACTTATTCCAAAAATTGACCACATAGTTGGAAGTAAAGCACACCTCAGCAAATGTAAGAGAACAGAAATTATAACAAACTGTCTCTCAGGCCACAGTGCAATCAAACTAGAACTCAGGATTAAGAAACTCACTCAGTGTGTGATGTTCCCTTTCCTGTGTCCATGTGTTCTCATTGTTCAATTCCCACCTATGAGCGAGAACATGCAGTGTTTGGTTTTTTGTGCTTGTGATAGTTTGCTGAGAATGATGGTTTCCAGCTTCATCCATGTCCCTACAAAGGACATGAACTCATCATTTTTTATGGCTGCATAGGATAGCATTAGGAGGTATACCTAAGGCTAAAAGACGAGTTAATGTGTGCGGCACACCAACATGGCACACGTATACATATGTAACAAACCTGCACGTTGTTCACATGTACCCTAAAACTTAAAGCATAATAATAATAATAAAAGAAACTCACTCAAAACCGCTCAACTACATGGAAATTGAACAACCTGCTCCTGAATGACTACTGGGTACATAACGAAATGAAGACAGAAATAAAGACATTCTTTGAAACCAATGAGAAAAAAGACACAACATACCAGAATCTCTGGGACACATTCAAAGCAGTGTGTAGAGGGAAATTTATAGCACTAAATGCCCACAAGAGAAAGCAGGAAAGATCTAAAATTGACAACCGAACATCACAATTAAAAGAACTAGAGAAGCAAGAGCAAACATATTCAAAAGCCAGCAGAAAGCAAGAAATAGCTAAGATCAGAGCAGACCCGAAGGAAATAGAGACACAAAAACCCCTTCAAAAAATCAATGAATCCGGTAGCTGGTTTTTTGAAAAGATCAACAAAATAGATAGACTGCTAGCAAGACTAATAAAGAAAAGATAGAAGAATCAAATAGATGCAATAAAAAATGATAAAGGGCATATCACCACGGATCCCACAGAAAGACAAACTACCATCAGAGAATACTATAAACACCTCTATGCAAATAAACTAGAAAATCTAGAAGAAATGGATAAATTCCTCAACACATACACCCTCCCCAGAATAAACCAGGAAGAAGGTGAATCTCTGAATAGACCAATAACAGGCTCTGAAATTGAGGAAATAATTAATAGCTTACCAACCAAAAAAAGTCCAGGACCAGATGGATTCACAGTCGAATTCTATCAGAGGTACAAGGAGGAGCTGGTACCATTCCTTCTGAAACTATTCCACTTAATAGAAAAAGAGGGAATCCTCCCTAACTCATTTTATGAGGCCAGCATCATCCTGACACCAAAGCCTCGCAGAGACACAACAAAAAAAGGGAATTTGAGACCAATATCCCTGATTAACATCGATGCAAAAATCCTCAATAAAATACTGGCAAACCGAATCCAGCAGCACGTCAAAAAGCTTATCCACCAATATCAAGTCGGCTTCATCCCTGATCCGCAAGGCTGGTTCCACTTACGCAAATCAATAAACGTAATCCATCACATAAACAGAACCAATGACAAAAACCACATGATTGTTTCAATATGTGCAGAAATGGCCTTCGATAAAATTCAACACCCTTTCAGGCTAAAAACTCTAGATAAACTAGGTATTGATGGAACGTATGTAAAAATAATAAGAGCCATTTATGACAAAACCACAGCCAATATCATACTGAATGGGCAAAAGCTAGAAGCACTCCCTCTGAAAACCAGCACAATGCATGGATGCCCCCTCTCACCACTCCTATTCAACATAGTATTGGAAGTTCTGGCCAGGGCAATCAGGCAAGAGAAAGAAATAAAGAGTATTCAAATAGGAAGAGAGGAAGTCAAATTGTCTCTGTTTGCAGATGACATGATTGTATATTTAGAAAACCCCATCATCTCAGCCCAACATCTCCTAAAGCTGATAAGCAACTTCAACAAAGTCTCAGGATACAAAATCAATGTGCAAAAATCAAAATCATTCCTATACATCAACAATAGACAAACGGAGAGCCAATCATGAGTGAACTCCCATTCACAATTGCTAAAAGAAAATAAAATACATAGGAATACAACTTACAAGGGATGTGAAGGACCTCTTCAAGGAGAACTACAAACCACTGCTTAAGGAAATAAGAGAGGACACTAACACATGGAAAAACATTCCACGCTCATGGGTCTGAAGAATCAATATCATGAAAATGGCCATACTGCCCAAAGTGATTTATAGATTCAATGCTATCCCCATCAAGCTGTAATGGAGTTTCTTCACAGAATTAGAAAAAACTACTTAAAACTTCATATGGAAGCAAAAAAGAACCTGTATACACAACACAATCCTAAGCAAAAAGAACAAAGCTGGAGGCATCACGCTACCTGACTTCAAACTATACGACAAGGCTACAGTAACCAAAACAACATGGTACAGTTATCAAAACAGATATGTAGACCAATGGAACAGAACAGAGGACTCAGAAATAATGCCACACATCTACAACCATCTGAACCTTGACAAACCTGACAAAAACAGCCAATGGGGAAAGGATTCCCTATTTAATAAACGGTGTTGGGAAAACTGGCTAGCCATATGCAGAAAACTGCAAATGAACCCCTTCCTTTCACCTTATGCAAAAATTAACTCAAGATGGATTAAAGACTTAAATGTAAGACCTAAAGCCATAAAAACCCTAGAAGAAAACCTAGGTGATACCATTCAGGACATAGGCATGGGCAAAGACTTCATGGCTAAAACACTAAAACCAATGGCAACAAAAGCCAAAATTGACAAATGGGATCTAATTAAAATAAAGAGCTTTTGCACAGCAAAAGAAACTATCATCAGAGTCAACAGGCAACCTATAGAATGGGAAAATTTTTTGCAATCTATCCATCAGACAAATGGCTAATATCCAGAATCTACAAGGAACTTAAGCAAATTTACAAGAAAAAAACAAACAACCCTGTCAAAAAGTGGGTGAAGGATACTAACAGACAACTCTCCAAAAAAACCATTTATCCAGCCAACAAACATATGAAAAAATGTTCATCACCACTGGTCATTTGATTTGCATTTCTCTAATGCAAATCAAAACCACAGTGAGATACCATCTCATGCCAGTTAGAATGGTGATCATTAAAAAGTCAGGAAACAACAGATGCTGGAAAGGATGTGGAGAAATAGGAATGCTTTGACACTGTTGGTGGGAGTGTAAATTAGTTCAACCATTGTGGAAGACAGTGTGGCAATTCCTCAAGGATCTAGAACCAGAAATACCATTTGATCCAGCAATCTCATTACTGGGTATATATCCAAAGGATTATAAATCCTTCTACTATAAAGACACATGCACAAGTATGTTTATTGCAGCACTATTCACAACAGCAAAGACTTGGAACCAACCCAAATGCCCATCAATGATAGACTGGATAAAGCAAATGTGGCACATATACATCATGGAATACTATGCAGTCATAAAAAATAAGTTCATTTCCTTTGCAGGGACATGGATGAAGCTAGAAACCATCATTCTCAGCAAACTAACACAGGAACAGTAAACCAAAACACCACATAAGTGGGAGTTGAACAATGAGAACTCATGGTCACAGGTAGGGGAACACTACACATCAGGGCCTCTCGGGGTGTGGAGGGCTAGGAGAGGGGTAGCATTAGGAGAAATACCTAATGTAGATGACGGGTTGATGGGTACAGCAAACCACCATGGCATGTGTATACGTATGTAACAAAACTGCACGTTCTGCACATGTATCCCAGAACTTAAAGTGGAAAGAAAGAAAGAAAGAAAGAAAGAAAGAAAGAAAAAAAGAAAGAAAGAAAGAAAGAAAGAAAGAAAGAAAGAAAGAAAGAAAGAGAAAGAAAGAAAGAAAGAAAGAAAGAAAGAAAGAAAGAGATGAAGCAAGAAAGATGGAAGGAAGGAAGGAAGGAAGGAAGGAAGGAAGGAAGGAAAGAGAGAGAGAGAGAGAGAGAAAGAAAGAAAGAAAGAAAGAAAGAAAGAAAGAAAGAAAGGAAAAGAAAAGACAGTGGAGGGGAGGGGATGGGAGAGGAGGTGAAGGGAAGGGAAGGGAAGGGAAGGGAGAAGAAAAGAAATACCCATAAAATAGGAAAGCTGGCTGGTCACAGGAGAAGCATGAAAATATCAAGCAGTGATTTCATATAGCAGCAAGAAAAGAGCTTGTAAAATTAGCTGCAAGAATAAGGATAAGCCTTGACCCATAAGATCCAAACAAGCAGGAAGGGGCTAAGCTGGCTGACACTGAATTGGTCAGACATGGCACTGGGTTTGACCCTTGCCCTACCCCAGGCCTAATTATACACCTATTATGACAGTAAGTCACACACCAGCGCCAGGACGGTTCTGAGAATGCCCATATTTAGTATAAAAATAGTTAACACCTAGCCACGTGCAGTGGCTCATGCCTGTAATCCCAACATTTTGGGAAACTGAGGCAGGCGGATAACCTGGTGTCGGGAGTTTGAGACCACCCTGACCAACATGGAGAAATCTCGTCTCTCCTAAAAATACAAAATTAGCCGAGTGTGGTGGTGCATGTCTGTAACCCCAGCTACTCCAGAGGCTGAGGCAGGAGTATTGCTTGAACACGGGAGGCGGAGATTGCAGTGAGCCAAGATCGCGCCATTGCACTCCAGCCTGGGCAACAAGAGCGAAACTCCATCTCAAAACATAAATAAATAAATAAATAAATAAATAAATAAATAAATAAATGACACCTCAGTTCTAAGAAAACTTCACCATTTTTTCTTAAAATCCTAATGATTATTTCAACCTCTCCTTACAGATCCTATAAAATTAGAAACCCAAACTCTCTTGTACCTGACTCGCTCTCCTGAATAAGCCCTCTCTTGAGTGTGTTCCTTTGCTTTGCAATAGACACTTCTTGCCTTTTGCTTCATTCTGCCTACTTCCTAAACTCTTTCTTGCAGCGGTGACAAGAATGTGGACACTGGTTGGTGATTGAGTCTCTGGGCACCTGGAGACGACCTAAGCACTATGGCAATAGTCAGTCTAAAAATCACACAGGATATCACAATTCACTCTCTGGTTTTCTTGGGGGAAAAATCCAGTAACTTTGGCCCCATATCCCCAAGGGGCATCACTCAGCACAAACTGAGAAGCAGCAGTCCTACCGCTGGGTTGTAAGTATGCGGCTTTATTCCGGGGTTCTCTATTCCATTCCATTGGTCTATGTCTCGACCTTCATACTGGCACCACGCAGTTTTGCTTACTATTGCCTTACTGTATAAATTGAAGTCAGGTAATGTGATGTCTCCATATTTGTTCATTTTGCTTCGGATTGCTTTGGCTCTTCAGGCTCTTCTTCATCTCCATATGAATCTTAGGATTCTTTTTTTAATCTTGTGAAAATGGTGTTTGTATTTTGGTGTATGAAATTTTTAGACTGACGTTTTTAGATTGATGTTTGATGTTTGCAGTTTTTAGATTGCTTTGGGCAGTGTGGTCATTTTCACAATATTGTGTCTGTCAATCCGTGAGCATGGGCTGTTTTTCTACTTTTTTGTTGTCTATGATTTTTTTCAGCAGTGTCTTGTAGTTCATCTCATAGAGATCCTTTACCTAATGGTTAAGTGTATTCCTAGGTTGTTTTTGTTATTGTCACTGTTTTTGTTGTTGTTTTGCAACTATTGTGAAGGGATGGAGTTCTTGAATTGATTCTCAGCTTGCTTGTTGTTGGTATCAAACAGTGGTACTTATTTGTACATATTGATTTTGTACCTGAGATTTAAGTGAATTCACTTATCGCATCTATGAGTCTTGGTGGAATCTTTCCAGTTTTCTAAGCACATATGATCACATCATTGGCAAACACAGGTAGTTTCACTTCCTTCTTTCCAATTTAATTATACTTTATTCCTTTTGCTTACCAGATTGCTCTGACAAAAATTTTCAGTCCTATGTTGATTACAAGTGGATAAAGTGAGGATTTTTGTCTGCTTGTAGTTCCTAGCAGGAATACTTTCAACGTTTCTTCATTCAATATGATGTTGCATGTGGATTTGTCATTTTTGGCTTCTATTATTTTGATGTATGTTCTTTCTAGGCATAGTTTGTGTAAGCGTAGTCTATTATTTTACAAGCTCAGATTTGTATTCTGTTTTATCTGAGTGCATTGTGAGATTTGGCATCTATTTTACCTGATATAAGTACAGCTACTCTTGCTGTTTTTGGTTTCCAGTTGCATGGAATATCTTATTCTACCCATTCACTTTCCATCTACATGTATGTTTATAGGTGAATTAAGTTTCTGGAAAACAGCATATAGTAGGGTTTTATGTTTTTACTCATTCAAAGACCCTATGCCTTTCACTTGCAGAATTGAGATAAATTATATTCATTGTTTTTATTGATAAAGGCTTAGTGCTCCCATTTCATTTCTTGTTTTTTGGTTGTTTAGAGACTTCTCTCTTCCATCCTTTTCTTATTGTCTTTCTTTGTGTTTAAGTAATTTTCTCTTCTGGAATACTTAGAATGTGACTCTTCTGGCCAGAAACCTCTGTGGCTGGGGGCACCTTTGCCAGAGTTTTGATGGGGTTCACTGGGTTCGTTCTGCCCATGCAGCCTGGTAGACTATGCTTGGCTCATGTTTCAAGCCTGGAGCACATGCCTATTAAGGGCGGGTCAGGGCTGGAGTGGTGAGGGGTGTGTGAGTGAGCAGGGGGTCTGGCCACTTTGGACGGTCACCGGCTGCTGCTGCTGCAGCAGTGGGTTGGGCAGCTCCAGGTGTCAGCATGTGTGCCAGATTTCTGCAAGGCTGCAAATGAATCAGGCACAGCACAAACAGCTTCCATGGTTGTCACTGGAATACACAGTGACACCAACACTGAAAGCTTGGAAATGCCAGGAACTGCAGAACCCCCAAAAGGGAGTCACAGCCCTGGCTCAGGAAGCTCCCACATCTGGGCTCCTGGAAGAGTAGTCGCTCTTCTCTTTTTCTCTTCACCTACAATTTGGTGAGCAAGGGGCATGTTTCAGCTTTATTTGTGTTATTGCTCTTTTACCCCACCATTAGGCGGGTCTCAAGTTTTTGTCCTGTGACCAGGAAGAGTGAAATATGCAGACAAGTGGAGGGTGAGTGAGATAAAGAGGAGCTTTATTGAGCAATAGAACAGCTCAGAGACCCACAGTGGGTAACTTCTTTCTGCAGCCAGGGCGTCCTGATGAGTGTTTAGTACTGAGCAGAGAGGAGGCCCTGGGTGGGTGACCCCTCCCTCCTGGCAGGTTATTCCATCATCACCACTGCTCTCAGTAGAGAGAAGGCCCTGGAGTGGGTTGCTGCTCTCTGCAGGAAAGTCATCTCATCATCTCTACAGCTCTCAGCAGAGAAAAGGACCCGGAGGGGGTTGCTTGTCTCTACAGGAAAATCATCCCCACAGTGGGTAGTTCCTCTCTGCCACTGGTCTTCCTAATGTTCTCCCTGAGTCTGGGGTTTTTTTGACATCAGACAGGAGAAAGTATGCACTCATTGGGTCATAGGTGGCCATGAGCAGGCACAGAAAAGGCAACACATGTTCCCACTCTGGTCCATAGGACTGGTGGCCCAGCCCATGGGCTTCAGGCCCTCCTTGATCAGAAGGTGGAGCTTCACCAGTGACCCTCACCTTCCTGTCCAGGATTCTGTCTGCCTCCCACCACCAACCATGGAGCCCAGGTCACTTGTACCAAGGAGCATCCAAAGACCAGTGCTGATCAGTCCGCAACACCCCTCAGCCTCCCTCCTACACTCATCAAGGCCCAAAGTCCAGAGGGTTCAAGACAGCAGTGGGATGGTGCATCAGCACTGACCCGAGTGTGCACAGACCCACCTGGGCTGCGACAGCATCTGGGCTTGACCACAACCACACTCCAAAATTAGAGCAGGTGCCATGAGAGATGAGGCAGTGAGAGCGGACACCCCCAAGCTGCAGGAGAAGGGGGGATCTCCTGGACCCTCGAGAGTACTGGGGGACCTCATTTGGTAACTGTGACCTGGACAACTTCAGTTGCGTCTTTGGAGCTACTGCCCTGCCAACTCAGGAGGACCAGGACTCCCTCTTGTCCCAGGCTCCCATCAGCTCTGAAGTGTACGCAGCCTTGGATGTGCCCTTTCTCTGTGTTTCCCTGCAGAAGTGACAGTTGAGAAGCAGATACACAGCAGCTCTGACCAACCCCGCACAAACAAACCCAATGCTCCTGGGTGTGGTTTAACCAGCCCCAACTGCACTATCATCCAGGAGCTTGCAGGCTAACAGCAGGCAGTGAGCAGTGAAGTAGAGGCTGTGGTGGAGACTCCAGACCTGGGACAAGGTTCCATTTTGCGATGAGAGGGTGTGGGTGGCACAGTTGGCTGCCTCAGGGAAATGGAGCACAGGCCTGGCTCATGACCCAGTCAAGGGGAGTGCCTCCAGGAGTGGTTCATGGTTCCAGGCCCAGCAATCGGGCTGGTCACCCCTATGGGGGGCGGATCTCGGAAACACAGCCTGGGGTGGATCCGCATAGAACCTCCCTTCAAGACCTGGGAGCTTGACACCGTTAGCAGGATGGGCACAGTGACCAGATAGCTGGCCAGGTCCTTGAAGCAGGTGCCATTTCTGCTTCTCACCCTGGCCCCCTGATGGATGGCCCCAGCTATGCCTTCTGGGCCTGGCATCCGCACATCTTGTGCGAGCGTGGCACCACCCCATTCCTATCTTCTCCTTGGGGCCCCTCTCTGCCCGTCCCTTCGCGCCTGACCGAGCTGCTCCCCGTGGGCAAAAAAGTAAGAAAAAAACTGATGACTGAAGAGAAGTAAAGAATGGGTGGAGATCATCTGTATGCCTGTTTTCCTAGCGCTTTGGGAGGCCAAGGTCAGTGGATCACTTGAAGCCAGGATCTTGAGACCAGGCTGATCAACACGGAAAAACCTCATCTCTATTAAAAATACAAAAATCAGCCAGTCTTGGTGGAACGTGCCTGCAGTCCCAGCTATTTGAGTGGTTGAGGCACAAGAATCACTTGAGCCCTGAAGGAAAGGATTGCAATGAGCCCAGATTGCACCACTGCACTCCAGCCTAAATGACAAACTGAGATTTTGTCTCCAAAACAAAACAAAGAACAAGAATGGGTGGGAAATACTTAAAATGATCAAATTTTATTTGGTTGCTTTGATGTTCTACAGCTGAAACTCAATCACAGACAAAGTAGTATTTCATTATTTTTCCATCAGTAACTCAATAACTAGATATTTCTGGTGGATAAATTGCTACAACACGTTAAAAGTTTTCATTCAGGTGCTCTTTATTTCTGATATTCCTTGGTAACCATCCTTGCAGGGATAACATTCTCATCACTGTAGAACTTTAGCTTCTCTTTCCGACTCTGTAGGACACGGGTCCCTGAAGTTCTCATTGATGTCACCTCAACATTTTCCTCCAGCCTTGCCCCCTGCTGTTATGTTTTCTCCCTCACACTGAGCACTTCCCTGTGCTTCCTTTAAGTTGCATGTGGCCTGGACACAGTCACTCATGCCAGTAATCCCAGCACTTTAGGAAGCTGAGGCAGGAGGATCCCATAAGCCCAGCTGAGGCAGGAGGATCCCAGAGCAACACAGAGAAACCCTGTCTCAAATTGTCTTTAATAAAAATTTTGGAATTATTAAAAAATGAAATAAATAAGAAAAGAGAAAAATAGCTTGCACCTACATAGTAGATTTTAGTGTCCAAGTGCCTGGAAGAGAACTTTGGATTTCTCTACCCCACTGGGCATGCCTTCCCTAGCAGCAAAGATGGAGCTCCAGTTCCTCAGACAGTGATGAGCCACAGGAAGGGCAGGGGGTGGGGCCAATGAAGATCCTCTTGGGCTGCCTGACTTCCCTCAGTGTACACATCAGCTCAGCCCGAAGTGGGGTCAAGATCTCCCAATTGACACGAACCAAGGAATTCAAACTCTCCTCAGGGGCAGGATACGTCTCCAGGCTTAACTTGCTCAGCCCACTGGTGTGGCGCAGCAGGTCCTTCAGGGCACCCATAGACATACAATTTCTGCCAAAGTAGAAGGTGGTGAGCTGGGAGCAGCGGCTCAGGCCAGGCAGGATGGCACTGAGTTGGGAGTAGTGGATCTGACAGCCCTCCAAGATGAGGGTTTCGAGAGAGGCAGCAATTTTCTCTAGCAGAGCTCCGAGGGGTTCAAGACTGATGCGGAACAGCAGCACGTAGCTGAGATTCAGATGCTTTAGGTAACCGAGGCTTGGGTACTGGGAGAGACACTTCACATCCTCTTCCAATAGGTAGCCATAAGTTAATTCCAAGTTCTCCAAGGGGTTCTGGAGGCACCTGTGGAGATCAAGAAGTTAGTTCTGGGCAATGGTACCAGTTAGATGAAGGTAGTGCCTTCATCTAGGAAAATGCCTGCGTCAAACAAACACAAGTTTGTTCCCACCATCTGATGATGGTCCTCATGGAAGTTGCTGCATGATGAGGACCCTGATCGCTCAGGGGCTGTCCCATTTTAGAATCAGCCCTTTCACCATTGCTTGTGTGATTGGGTCAAGGCCATAAAATCTCTAAAGCCTTTTTTTTTTTTCATCTTTTAGCAGAAAACTTTATCTCTGGGCCACAGGTACCCGGTGGGAGATGTGAACAAAGAACTCAACTCAGCAAGGTCTAGGGACATCAGCTAGGGCTACATGTCGGCAGGGGCTACCTGACATGCCTGCATCTGCAAACCAACTGTCACTTTTTACCACTCTCACGCCTACTCCCTCACCTCCATCCCAGAAGCACGCATTTCCCATGTCAGTTACCTTTCCTGGAGTTCAAAACAACCTTTTACAAACAGGGAATCAGAGACAGGATCATTCGTGATCACTAAGCCGGTGAGGACAGACGTTCTATTGTGAAATGGACAGGTTTGATGCACTTTCCCTCCTTTCATACCCTCCTCTATTATCTCTTTGACATCATATCAACTTGAAACACACTTTGTAACAGGAAATTCACACGTGCACCCCCAATAGAGCTGAAACCCCCACTAACTAGCTTGTACATGATGTCCCTCTCTAGCTTCTACCCCAGGTGACCCCTCTGCCCTTATTGGAGCGATCCTGTGATAGCCACTCCAGGACATGGAACACTGAATGGGACAATGTGTTGACATTCTGGTGTCCCCTTCACTGTGACGTTGCCACTGGCTGGCACACAGTACACGCCTTCTAATGTTTGCTGTAAGAGAACAAGGCTATGCTGTGGTCTGCATAAAAAATGCATGATCCTTCCTCACCTGATCAGCTGTTCCAGGTGCCCACTGAAGAAGGTGATCAATTTTATTTTAAGCAACTGGAGGTGTTCCAGCCCGAGGAACACAGAGCTGAATTTGGTGACTAACCGTCCTTCGAGTTCATTATCTGACGTGGAATGATGGCACCTGGAGAAAACGAGTTTGCCAAGAGTCTTCATCTCCTTCAGGTAACAACGAAGCTTTCTTATCAGACGTGGCCAGGACATGTTGTGAATTTCCAGCTATTGAATACTATTCAGGTATATTATTTTCAACGACTTTCTGAGATGTTTAATCGGCGTTAGATAATTGACCAGCTTACTACAGCACAGGTGTACTAAACCTCTCCTTTGGTAAACCCACTGGAAGAGGTATCTCAGGCATTCATCCTGGGGTATTTCCTTGAGGCAGATGTCTATGAACACCTTTAAGGGCTGGTGCTCTCCCATCCTTGGACGGTCCTCTGCTGTCTGCCTCTTACTCATGGTCTCTGGGAAGCAGGACAGGGCCCAGGCTCCAGGCCATCTGGCCCAGAAATTCCCGTCAACGTCCCGCTAATCCAGCACTTGAAGTTTCCACCTCCTGTGGGTAAAATAAGGGAGAGGCTCAGAATTTAGAAGGACAAATCCCTGACCTTTGCTTTCATTGTCATCCCATAAATCAGCTGCTCATGTCCTCAGTGCTCCCTGTTCTCTTTGTCTTTTCTTGATCCCTTTTCCCTTTGGATTCTGAGTGGTCCCCACTTCTATTCCCTTTACCTTCCACTGAGAAAAGGCAGGTTTCTGTTCCCACAGTGGACCCTGTATGGTGAGCAGTCCTTTCTCTGAGGATCTGGACAATGGCCAAAGCCTCCCTGATCTTCCTCGCCAACACCATCAGAAGACTCTGGGCTACACTTGGGCTACTTCTCTGCCTGACCCTGCTGTTCTTTCCCTGGACACCTGAGCCCTATCTACCAGCCCTCCTGGGTCACCTCACCTGGGGCGATCCTTCTGTGTAAGCAGCATATGAAGCCCTTCCAGCAATGCTTTTAAGGTCTCCAAATGAAGCGTCTTCATCAGTGATCCCAGAGGGAGGCAGGTGAAGGGCCAGGCCTGCACCATCACCGTCACAGTCTGGAAGTGTCTCCTGCGGAAGGCCTCCATGAAGAGTGGGAGATAGAGCACCCTGGGCAGCTCCTCCATGGCAGAGATGGACAAGGCCTGGTCTCTCAGCAGGCTCTGCCCCGCCAGCTCCAGGAGTCTGGGTGGGGCCTGGATGCTCATCCTGATAGATCTGCAAGGAAAATCTCTAGAAGACAAATCCAGGGAAAATGTATCACTCTCATGGCAAACACAATCATCTGCTTCTACTGGTACCAGGAAGAATGTCTTCCAAACACCAAGGAGGGAGGGGTCAAGGAGACCACTGGTTTATTAATTTTCATCCATTGCTCCACTGAATCCCAGAACCACCGGACAGTGCCACTGAGGATCCTGAAAGCCAAGCTCTACCTCTTTGAGGAAAAATTTCTTGTCACTTACCACCCTAAAGCAATGAGAATGAGAGTGTCCTGTGGCCCCAGACAGCCTCCATTCTCAGTTTACACCATAAACATGCTGGGGGAACACTAAAGGGACTCCCTAAAATCGATGCCATTATTTTTTATTTTGAAAATTTTCTACCAGAAATGGACCAGGTGCTGTGGCTCATGTCTGTAATCCCAACACTGCTGGACACCAAGGCAGGCAGTTCACTTGAGGTCAGGAGTTCGAGAACAGCCTGGCCTACATAATGAAACGATGTCTCTACTAAATACAAAAAAATTAAGAATCATTTGACTCCAGAAGGCAGAGGTTGCAGAGAGCCAAGATCTCACCACTGCTCTCCAGCCTGGGTGACAGAGTTGGACTCCGACTCAAACAAAAACAAATTGATAAATTAATTAATTAAAATGTTAGCCAGGTGTGGTCATGCATGACTGTAATCCTAGCTACTCTGGAGGCAGAGGAAGGAGAATCACTTGAAGCCCAGAGGCAGAGTTTCCAGGGAGCCCAGCTCAGGGCCCTGCACTCCAGTCTGGGTGACACACTCAGAGTACATCGCAGAAAAAAAACAAAATAATTCACTGGAACTGTAAAAGTGGTGTGATGGTATTCCACAGCATTTGGAAGGTATGTATAGAAATGCTAACTGTACCTGGGCGCGGTGGCTCACTCCTGTAATCCCAGCACTTTGGGAGTCTGAGGGGGGCAGATCTCCTGAGGTCAGGAGTTTGAGGCCAGCATGGCCAACATGGCAAAACCCTGTGTCTACTAAAAATACAAAAATTAGCTGGGCATGGTGGTGAGTGCCTGTAATCCAAGCTACTCAGGAGGCTGAAGCAGGAGAATCGCATGTAACTAGGAGGCAGAAATTTCAGTGAACCAAACCACACCATGGCACTCCAGCCTGGGCAACAATAGGGAAACTCCATCTCAAAAACTGTAAAAGTGCTACCATGCTATTCTAGAGCACTGTAACTCTGAGATGAAGGTTCCTATAGACATCACTTCCACATACTCACAATTACCCACTTTTTGATGGATCCTAGGGGCAAAGATAAATCCCATGATCTGAGCAAAACTGCACTCTTGAGATTGGTGTGTGGGATACCTTTAAGGATTTTATGAAAATGAAAGCATACTTGGAGAATCACAATAACACCAAGTCTATGAACTGTAATTGAAGGGCACAAAAACAGATAACTTCAAATGTCAAGAAATAAAAATTCATGTCACTGTAAATTTTTAATATATTTTTTAAAAACC
This sequence comes from Homo sapiens, assembly GCF_000001405.40. Taxonomy (NCBI): domain Eukaryota; kingdom Metazoa; phylum Chordata; class Mammalia; order Primates; family Hominidae; genus Homo; species Homo sapiens. The sequence continues at coordinate 23,455 of NW_015495298.1, read as the reverse complement.
TGCTTCGATAAGAATTTTAAAATGACAAAAACCAAGCACAAATCACAATTTGATGGATGAAGACAAAACTACATTTAGAGGAAAAATGAAAGCCTAAATCTGTTCATCTCACGAAACAGACAGAAAAATATTGTGTGCCACTTTGGGATGTGTGTCACCGTCCCTGACTGGCTGGCTGCTGATCAGATGGGCATGACCCTAAGCAGGTGGTGACTTACCAGCGCTGGACTCACTTTGCAGAGTTCTGGGACCTCTCAGGGAACCAAGCAGTAGCTCCAGGAATGAGTGCTGTGGGTCTCTTCTGGGTACCCTCAGGAGCTTTTATAGACCTTTCTAACCCCACCCTTCCCTTCTCAATCACCAGCTTCCAATCAGAAAGTGATACCTGATTAGATCTTGCAGTCACACCCAGTTAATCCTGATTGAGTTTTCAGCTTTCTTCTGACTAATCGATTGAATTAGATACACATTTATGGAAGTAAAAGAATAAATAATAGGGTGAAAGTCTAAAACTCATTCGTTCATTTATTCCCCAAATACTGATGAAGTTTGGCTAATACACGACTTTCGTAGTGATGTAGGGAAGGGATTAATCTGTTCCTGATATTAGACCAAAAAAAAAAAAACCTTAAGGTGTCCTTATTGGAGGATGTTTGGCCACATCAAAATTGTCAAAATGTTTCAGAGCTACAATAGCCTGAAGAAGATAGTGATGTCATTCCCAAGAAAACAGAATAAAAAGCTGTGTATATCGAATGGTCACCTGTGTTTTATGCTATCTAACATAGCAGATCATATGCACATTCAGGTAGAAGAAAGGAACCACTGAGAGTGTGATCTATCTCAAGACTAAGTCAAGGCTTCACTGAAGGAAATCAGGACAAAGTGACCAAGTGAGGTGGGGACTGAGCGGAATGAGACTAGGTGTTCTAATGGGAACCTGCAAAGGAAACAAGACAATGTAAAACATGGCGGTTATCTTGTGGGCATCTAGATGTCAGGACTCAAAGTCTTTTGTCAAGATTGAGTTTATTTATTGATTGTTTGTTTGATTTTCAGACTGGGCCTACATCTGTCACTCAGGCTGGAGTGCAGTGGCACGATTTCAGCTCACTGCAGCCTCAACCTTCTGGTTCAAGTGATTCTCTCATTTCTGCCTCCCAAGTAGCTGGGAATTACGGGTGCACTCCAACAAGCCCTACTAATTTTTGTATTTTAGTCGAGATGGGGTTTCACCATGTTGGCCCGGCTGGTCTCAAACTCCTGACCTCAAGTGATCTCCTCACCTTGGCCTCCCAAAAGGCTGGGATAACATGCATCAGCCATCTCACCCACCCTAGATTGAGTTCAGAAATTAAAAGGAGAATCATCAAAAGAGATAGGGCAGACTTAAACCATAACATTCACTTTGAAAACACAGGGGGCAGGTATAGTCTTGGCCCTACTAGAAGGTAAAGGGTGTTTACTCACAAAACTGATGGGCTCCTCTCAGAAAACCAGCTTGCAAAGATGGAATCTAAGAATGTGAACTGGAGCAGAGGCCAGAGAGAAGATTGGGGCCAGACCTGGGAAGGGAGGCTCTCCCAAGCTGGAAGCCACCCAGGTAGAAACTGTGGGCTCTACAGGATGTGAGAGAGAAATGAACGAGGGTCCATATGTCCATCATTGTTCTATCATCTGGAAACCTTTCCTTTAGACTCTGGGATCTTCCCACAGTGGAACATTTCCCAGCAACCATTGGCCCCAGTCATTTTCCAGGACCCTTCATCCAAATCTTAATCTCACCCACTCCCTTCCTACTCTAATTTGATAATTCATGTTTCCTCCTTCTTAGAGTCCTTTCCTGTCGCTAATATTGAACATAGAGATTCTTATCAGAGCATCAACATTAGGCCTACAAAGAAAGCTCAGACCCAGGCACAGTGGCTCATGCCTGTAACATCAGCACTTTGAGAGGCCAAGGTGGGCTGATCATGAGGTCAGTATATCAAGACCATTCTAGCTAACACGGTGAAACTCCGTCTCTACTAAAAATACAAAAAATTAGCCGAGCATAGTGGCAGATGTCTGCACTCCCAGCTACTCAGAAGGCTGAGGCAGGAGAATCGCTTAAACCCAGGATGTGAAGTTGCAGTGAGCTGAGATGGCGCCACTGCCCTCCATCCTGGGTGATGGCATGACACTGTCAAAAAAGAACAAAAGAAAAAGCAAGCAAGCATGCAAGAAAGAAAGAAAGAAAGAAAGAAAGAAAGAAAGAAAGAAAGAAAGAAAGAAAGAAAGAAGGAAGGAAGGAAGGAAGGAAGGAAGGAAGGAAGGAAGGAAGGAAGGAAGGAAGGAAAGAAAGAAGAAAGAAAGAGAAAGAAAGAAAGAAAGAAAGAAAGAAAGAAAGAAAGAAAGAAAGAAAAAAGAAAGAAAGAAAGAAAGAAAGGAAGGAAGGAAGGAAAAGAAAGAAAGACCTCAGGCCTCTAATCCCAGCCCTTTGGGAAGCCAAGAAAGGCAGAGTGCTAGAGCTCAGGAGTTTGTGAGGAATATGGGCAATGTGATGAAACCCTGTCTCTAATAAAAATACAAGATATTAGCTGGGGGGAGGCAGTGTGCACCTGTAGGCCAAGCTGCCCAAGAAGTTGAGGTGGGAGGATCACCTGAGCCCAGTGAGGCTTCTACTTCCCACGCCCCACTTTGTAAACCTGAGGCTGAGGGTGAGCTCAACACCAATAATGGTTGTGAGAATCTGTGTTCACTGAGCATCCACGAGGCACAACAGACGGCTGGTACTGATCATCCCGGACCTCAGCTCTTCTTCATGGAGAATCTAAGGCACGTTGCTATTTTCCCCATTTCTAACCTGATAAACCTGAGATTTGGCCAGAGAAAAATCTTCCCATGTTCTGGCAGCAAATGATTGGCAAACCCCTCAGGTGAGGGGCTCAGTGGAACCCCCAAGGTGTTCAATAAGCTAAATATTGGAAAGAACTGGCTAACTGACTCCCTCTTCCTGCCCATTTCAAGGGGTGCAGTAGCACCCCCAGGACCCCAGTGAGAATCCTGCACTTGGGGTCTTTTCTACCATGTTCTGTCACCAGTTCTTCTCGAGGTGCTCATCTGCTGCCAAGCTCAGAGCAACCTTCGAAACCCATCTCAGGAAACGACCTGACCTATTCTCCACTCCCAGAATCCACACTGGGATTCCAAAGCTCCTATGAGGCCCTTGCTTAGGCTCTCTAGAATATTCCTGAGCCTCTGTTTTCTCCCTCAGCCTGAGCTGATGGGGCCGGCGTCACTTTATGCATCCCAAGGCCATCAGCCCATCTCTCCTGGACTTCAGAACATGGCCACAATGCAGAGAGACCCAGCAGTAATTAAGAAATTTTCCCCAGTTTATATTGAGTGATGTTGGTGAACATGGCAAGGCACAAAGCAGGAAACTCCACAGCTGCTGCTCTGGACCTAAAGAGGCACCCTGGACTTCTGGGTGGTGACACTGCCTGGCTTGCAGAGGAAGACCTGACCCCTCTGGTCTTCCAAGGCTGCCAGGATGATGACAGAGCCTTGGACAGGTCCCAGCGCAGGGGCCATCCCTTCCCAGGTTCCCCTGGCCCAGCCTTAGAGCTGATAAGGATGCACCTGGAATGCACTAAGTATTTTTTTGTCCAAGCCAGGTCTCTTCTTAGCCTTAGGTGAGGCTTTTTTCAGCTGGGTGCTATGGAAGAACCCGAAGCCCAGTGGGCATCACTGCAATGTCCACATGGTAAGTATGTGTGTGTGTGTGTGGCCACCTAGAAAGGCACAACTCTACCTGACAGAGCTGGTTCCATGGAAGAGAAAAGTATAACATCCCATGTCCCTGGTAGGACAACTTCCTCTGGGAGTCCAGCAAGAAGACGTGGAATCTGCGGACAAGAGGTCCCTGGGTAAAAGCCCTCATTTGAGGATAAGAGTAAAGTTGAACCTTAGACCCTGAGGGATCTATGCCCTTCCCACAGGGCTGCAGCAGAGCCAGCCCTGACTCCCAGGCACAATAGCCCAGAGAGATCTTCGAAGGGAAGTAAACCTGCTGGGGCCTCAGGGCTCAGAAAAAGCTCTGGACCTATCTCCCAGTCATGCCTCTCCCACTCCCAAGTGCCTCTGGCCCTGGAACTGTCAGAGACCCCTGTGTCTTTTCCATGTGCTCTTCTTCTCCTTTCACTCAGCCCTGCCTCTGCCAATGCTCCCTGCATTTGCCTCCATGTAAGGCCCCCAACCCCAAGCTCTGGCAGTGGCTGGGGAGCTAGGGGTTTTTGTGCCCACCTGGAGAAAGCCTCACTCAGCATGGGCCCGTGTGGGTTCTGCAGTCTTTTCCTACACAGGGTCACCTACAGGTGTTATGGTTGCATCTCCCCTAGAAGAGCCAATGGGGATGGGTGAGGAATCTGAAATCACTCAGGCACCCCACATACAAATGAGAGCCAGGGTCCCTGCAAGCACAGGCCCCGGGGTAGGTCCTGGCCCTTGTTGTTGCCTTCTGATCCCAGAGGCCTTGGGTTTGTGGTCACAGGAGCCCTACCTACTTCCCATGCACCCCCAGCCCAAGATAAACAAATTCCTGCAGCCTCCCCGGTCCATGTACTTGAGATCTCCAGATCGTGCCACTTCACTCCAACCTGGACGACAGGGCGAGACTCGGGGCCAAAAAAAAAATTAGCTGAGCATGGTGGCAGGCACTTGTAGTCCGAGCTATTTGGGAGGCTGAGGTAGGAGAATCACTTGAAGCCAGGAGGCAGAGGTTTAAGTGAGCTGAGATAGAGCCACTACACTGCAGCCTGGGAAATAGAGCAAGACTCCGTCTCAGGAAAAAGAGACAAGAAAAAGAGAAAATCAGAAGCACCGAGCTGTGTTTTTAATGAGGTCCTGCCCCAGGAAGTCAGGCATCCAAATGAAATTTCCTCATTTTTATCAATTCCCTCCTGTTCTTTACTTCTCTTTACAAATCTGTTACCTCCTGACTTTGTTCTGTGGCTGATCAGTGGGTGAATACCCACAAGATGCACACACAGGGCCAGGAACATTCTATGTGGGCAAAGAGTGTGAGTCACTCAAGTAAAGCCCCTTCTCAGGTCCCTCCCTGCTAACCAGATGCTGAGACCCTGTTCAGTCCTAATGGGCAGATTGAGAAGAATCCATTTCTGACCATTAGCTGTGCTGGGACAGAGATTCACTGCACAAGGCATGGCCCCTGCTTTGGAAGGGGACATTCACATCATTGATTACCTGGAGCTTCAGGGCATCACCAACCCATACCTGTCGTCATGGTGGGCAGTGCTCCTTCCTTAATTAAACTAGTTGTGTCTTATAAAGATATCAAAATTCCCTTTTAGCAAAATACTGCCTACAATATATAAATATGGCTGGGTTTGTTGGCTCATACCTATAATAGTAGCACTTTGGGAGGCTGAGGCAGGAGAATCACAAGATCAAGAGATCGAGACCATCCTGGCCAACATGGTGAAACCCCATCTCTACTAAAACTACAAAAATTAGCTGGACATGTTGTCACATGCCTGTACTCCCAGCTACTAGAGAGGCTGAGGCAGGAGAATTGCTTGAACCCAGGAGGCGTAGGTTGCTGTGAGCTGAGATTGTGCCACCACACTTCAGCCTCATGACAGAGTGAGACTCCATCTCAAAAACAAAACAAAACAAAAGAAAATAACATATAAATACTAATAATCATATAGACATAAAACATGGTTTAAATATTTCTTTACCACATTCAAAAATCAAGCATGCTTTTTGGGGGCCAGGTCATATTGATGAGAGATCCTTTCTTAACACCCTTCCCATACCTAGCAGACTAAAGAAGAAGACTAGCGTATGCAGGGAAAAGAAAGAGAGATCAGACGGTTACTGTGTCTATGTAGAAAAGGAAGACATAAGAAACTTCATTTTGATCTGTACCCTGACTTTGCCCTGAGATGCTGTTAATCTGTAACTTTAGCCCCAACTTTGAGCTCACAGCAGCATGTGTTGTATAGAATCAAGGTTTAAGGGATCCAGGGCTGTGCAGGATGTGCTTTGCTAGCAAAAGGTTTACAGGCAGTATGCTTGATAAAAGTCATCACCATTCTCCATTCTCAAGTAACCAGGGGTGCAATACACTGTGAAAAACCTCAGGGACCCCTGCCCTGGAAAGCCAGGTATTGTCCAAGGTTTCTCCCCATGTGATAGTCTGAAATATGACCTCATTGGATGGGAAAGACCTGACCTTCCACCCAGCTTGACATCCATTAAGGGTCTGTGCTGAGGAGGATTAGTAAAAGAGGAAGGCCTCTTGCAGTTGAGATAAGAGGAAGGCTTCTGTCTCCTGCCTGCCCCTGGGAACTGAATGCCTCAGTATAAAACCTGATTATACATTTGTTCTATTCTGAGATAGGAGAAAAACTGCCTGTGGTGGGAGGCGAGACATGTTGGCAGCAATGCTGCTTTGTTACTCTTTACTCCATTGAGATGTTTGGGTGGAGAAAAGCATAAATCTGGCCTATGTGCACATCCAGGCATAGTACCATCCCTTGAACTTATTTGTGACACAGATTCCTCTGCTCACATGTTTTCTTGCTGACTTTCTCCCCACTATCACCCTGCTCTCCTGCCACTTTTCCCTTACTGAGTTAGTGAAAATAGTAATCAATAAATACTGAGGGAACTCAGAGACCAGTGCCGGTGTGGGTCCTCCGTATGCTGAGCAGCAGTCCCCTGGGCCCATTTTTCTTTCTCTATACTTTGTCTCTGTGTCTTATTTCTTTTCTCAGTCTCTTGTCCTGCCTGATGAGAAATACCCACAGGTGTGGAGTGGCTGACCCCCTTCACCTGGCGCCCAACGTGGGCCTTTCTCTAGGGTGAAGGTACGCTAAAAACGTGAGCATTGAAGACAGTCAACGAGAGATTCCCAAGTACTTCCACGGTCAGCCATGCGGTAAGCTTGTGTGCTCAGAGGAACCCAGGGTAACAATGGGACAAACTGAAAGTAAATATGCCTCTTATCTCAGCTTCATTAAAATTCTTCTAAGAAGATGGGGAGTTAGAGCTTCTACAGAAAATCTAATTATGCTATTTCAAACAATAGAACAATTCTGCCCATGGTTTCCAAAACAAGGACTTTAGATCTAAAAGATTGGGGGAAAATTGGCAAAGAATTAAAACAAGCAAGTAGGGAAGATAAAATCATCCCACTTACAGTATGGAATGATTGGCCCATTATTAAAACAACTTTAGAACCGTTTCAAATAGAAAAAGATAGCCTTTCAATTTCTGATGCCCCTGAAAGCTGTGTAGTAGATTGTGAAGAAGAGGCAGAGACAAAATCCCGGAAATTAATGGAAAGTTCACATTGTAAAATGTAACAGAGTCTGTAATGGCTCAGTCAACGCAAAATGTTGACTACAATCAGTTACAGGAGGTAATATATCCTGAATCATCAAAACTGGTGGAAGGAGGTCCAGAATTATTGGGGCTACCAGAGCCTAAACCACAATGGCCATCAACTCCTCCTCCAGTGGTTCAGATGCCTGTAACATTACAACCTCAAATGCAGGTTAGACAAGTGCAAACCCCAAGAGAATATCATGTAGAAAAGGATAGAGTCTCTATCCCGGCCATGCCAATTCAGATACAGTATCCACAATATCAGCTGGTAGAAAATAAGACCCAACCACCGGTAGTTTATCAATACTGGCCGCCAGCTAAGCTTCAGTATGGGCCGTCTCCGGAGGTTCAATACAGACCTCAAGCTGTGTGTCCCGTGCCACATAGCACGGCACCTCACCAGCAACCCAGCGGTGTTTAGTCCTACATCACCACCTAGTGGACAAGGTAGTACACTGCATGAAATCATTGATAAAGCCAGAAAACAGGGAGATCTTGAGGCATGGCAGTTCCTTGTAATTTTACAACCAATACCAGCTGGGAAAGGGGGGCAAGCTGGAGCGTCTGTCCAAACTGAGGCTAGATATGAATCTTTCACCATGAAAATGTTAAAAGATATGAAGGAAGGAGTTAAACAATATGGACCCAACTCCCCTTATATGAGAACTTTATTAGATCCCATTGCTCATGGAAATAGACTTATTCCCTATGATTGGGAAATGTTGGCTAAATCTTCCCTTTCACCCTCTCAGTTCCTACAATTTAAAACCTGGTGGATTGATGGAGTACAAGAACAGGCACGAAAAGTCAGGCTATTTATCCCGCTGTTAATATAGATGCAGATCGATTGCTAGGAACAGGTCCAAATTGGAGTACAATTGGCCAACAGTCAGTAATGCAGAATGAGGGTATTGAATATCTAAGGGCTCTTTGCCTCAGGGACTGGGAAAAAATTCAGGACCCAGGCACCTGGGTGCCCCACACACCACTTGCCCAGGCATCACTTGCCCAGGCACCGCTTGCCCTTCTTCTAATTCAATTAGACAAGGCTGCAAAGAGCCATATGCAGACTCCGTGGCAAGGTTGCAAGATGCCTCTGAAAAATCTGTTTCGGATGATAATGCTCAAAAAGTTATTGTAGAAATAATGGCTTATCAAAAGTCAAATCCAGAATTTCAACCAGCCATAAAGCCATTAAAAGGAAAAGGTCCAGCAGGAGTTGATGTAATTACGGAATATGTGAAAGCTTGTGATGGGATTGGAGGAGCTATGCGTAAGGCAATGCTAATGGCTCAAGCAATGACCGGAGTCACTTTAGGAGGATAGTTAGAGCATTTGGGGGGAAATGTTATAATTGTGGTCAAATCGGTCATCTAAAAAAGAACTGCCCAGTCTTAAATAAACAGAGTAAAAATAAAGAGCCACCTGGCCTGTGTCCAAGACATGGAAAAGGAAAACATTGGGCTAATCAATGTCGTTCTAAATATGATAAAAATGGGCAACTATTGTCAGAAAAAGGGGTGAGGGGCCAGCCTCAGTCCCAACAACAAACTGGGGCATTCCCGATTCAGCCGTTTGTTCTTCAGGGTTTTCAGGGACAGCAACCACCACAGCAAATACCACCACTTCAGGGAATCAGCCAATTACAACAATACAACAGCTGTCCCCCGCCACAGCAGGCAGCACAGCAGTAGATTTATGTTCCACTCAAAAGGTTTCTTTACTCCCTGGAGAGACCCCGCAAAAGATTCCTACAGGGGTATATGGCCCACTGCCAGGAGGGACAGTAGGCCTCATTTTAGGGAGATGAAGTCTAAATTTGAAGGGAGTCCAAATTCATACTGGGGTAATTGATTCAGATTATAAAGGGGAAATTCAGTTAGTGATCAGCTCCACTGTTCCCTGGAGTGCCAATCCAGGTAATAGAATTGCTCAATTATTGCTTTTGCCTTATATTAAAATTGGGGAAAATAAAACGGAAAGGACAGGAGGGTTTGGAAGTACCAACTCTGCCGGAAAAGCCACTCATTGGGCTCGTCAGGTCTCAGAGAATAGACCTGTGTGTACAGTCACTATTCAGGGAAAGCAGTTTATAGGATTATTGGATACCGATGCTGATGTTTCCATTATCGCCTTAAATCAATGGCCAAAAAATTGGCCTAAACAAAAGCCTGTTACAGGACTTGTCGGTGTGGGCAGCGCCTCAAAAGTGTATCAAAGCACCATGATTTTACATTGTCTAGGACCTGATAATCAAGAAAGTACAGTTCAACCTATGATTACTGCTATTCCAATTAATTTATGGGGCCGAGACTTGTTACAACAATGGCATGCAGAGATGACTATCCCAGCCTCCTTATACAGCCCCACGAGTCAAAAAATCAGACTAAAATGGGGTATCTCCCTGGCAAAGGACTAGGGAAAAATGGAGATGGCATTAAAATCCCAATTGAGGCTGAGGGAAATCAAGAAAGAAAAGGAATAGGATATCCTTTTTAGGAGTGGCCACTGTAGAGCCCCCAAAACCCATTCCATTAACTTGGAAAACAGAAAAACCTGTATGGGTAAATCAGTGGCTGCTACCAAAACAAAAGCTGGAGGCTTTACACTTACGGGCAAAAGAACAATTAGCAAAGGGACATATTGAGCCTTCATTTTCGCCTTGAATTCTCCTGTGTTTGTAACTCAGAAAAAATCCAGCAGATGGCACATGTTAACCGACTTAAGAGCCGTCAATGCTGTAATTCAACCTATGGGGGCTCTCCAACCTGGGTTGCCCTCTCTGGCCATGATCCCCAAAGATTGGCCTTTAATTATAATTGATCTGAAGGATTGCTTTTTTACCATTCCTCTAGCAAAACAGGATTTTGAAAAATTTGCTTTTACTATACCAGCCATAAATAATAAAGAACCAGCCACCAGGTTTCAGTGGAAAGTGTTGCCTCAGGGAATGCTTAATTGTCCAACTATTTGTCAGATTTTTGTAGCTGAAGCTCTTCAACCAGTTAGAGACAAGTTTTCAGACTACGTCTTTCATTATGTTGATGATCTTTTGTGTGCTGCAGAAACGAGAGACACATTAATTGACTGTCACACATTTCTGCAGACAGAGGTTGCAAACTCAGGACTGACAATAGCATCTGATAAGATTCAAACCTCTACTCCTGTCCATTACTTGGGAATGCAGGTAGAGGAAAGAAAATTTAAACAACAAAAAATAGAAATAAGAAAAGACATTAAAAACATTAAACGACTTTCATAAATTGCTAGGAGATATTAATTGGATTTGGTCAATTCTAGGCATCCTTACTTATGCCATGTCAAATTTGTTCTCTATCTTGAGTGGGGATCCAGAATTGAATAGTAAAAGAACATTAACTCCAGAGGCAACTAAAGAAATTGAATTAATTGAAGAAAAAATTCGGTCAGCACAAGTAAATAGAATAGATCACTTCGCCCCACTCCAACTTTTGATTTTTGCTACTGCATATTCTCAACAGGCATTATTGTTCAAAATACAGATCTTGTGGAGTGATCTTTCCTTCCTGACAGTACGATTAAGACTTTTACATTGTACTTGGATCAAATGGCTACATTAATTGGTCAGGCAAGATTACAAATAATAAAATTGTGTGGAAGTGACCCAGATAAAATCATTGTTCCTTTAAACAAGGAAGAGTTTAGACAAGGCTTTATCAATTCTGCTGCATGGCAGATTGCTCTTGCTGATTTTGTGGGAATTATTGATAACCATTACCCAAAAACAAAAATCTTCCAGTTTTTAAAATTGACTACTTGAATTTTACCTAAAATTACCAGACATAAACCTTTAGAAAATGCTCTGACTGTGTTTACTGATGGTTCCAGCAATGGAAAAGTGGTTTACACCAGGCCGAAAGAATGAGTCATTGAAAATCAGATTCTGCATATGTAGTACAGCTACAAAGGATGTTGAGACAGCCCTAACCAAATATAGTATGGATGATCAGTTAAACCAGTCCTTTTATTTGTTACAACAAATTGTAAGAAAAAGAAATCTCCCATTTTATATTACTCATATATGAGCACATACTAATTTACCAAGGCCTTTAACTAAAGCAAATGAACAAGCTGACTTGCTAGTATCATCTGCATTCATAGAAGCACAAGAACTTCATGCTTTGACTCATGTAAATGCAACAGGACTAAAAAATAAATTTGATATCACATGGAAACAGGCAAAAAATATTGTACAACATTGCACCCAGTGTCAAGTCCTACACCTGCCCACTCAGGAGGCAGGAGTTAATCCCAGAGGTCTATGTCCTAATGCATTATGGCAAATGGATGTCACACATGTACCTTCATTTGGAAAATCGTCGTTTGTCCATGTGACAGTTGATTCTTATCTGCATGTTGTATGGGCAACCTGCCAGACAGGAGAAAGTACTTCCCATGTTAAAAGACATTTATTATCTTGTTTTGCTGTCATGGGAGTTCCAAAAAAAAATTAAAACACGTAATGGGCCAGGATACTGTAGTAAAACATTTTAAAAATTGTGAAATCAGTGACAAATTACACATACAACAGGAATCCCCTATAATTCCCAAGGACAGGCCATAATTGAAAGAACTAATAGAACACTCAAAGCTGAATTGGTGAAACAAAAAAAGGAAAAAGACATTAAGCAGTATAACACTCCCCAGATGCAACTTAATTTAGCACTCTATACTTTAAATTTTTTAAACATTTATAGAAATCAGACCACTACTTCTGCAGAGCAACATTTTACTGGTAAAAAGAACAGCCCACATGAAGGAAAACTGATTTGGTGGAAAGACAACAAAAATAAGACAAGGGAAATAGGGAAAATGATAACATGGGGGAGAGGTTTTGCTTGTGTTTCACCAGGAGAAAATCAGCTTCCTGTTTGGATACCCACTAGACATTTAAAGTTCTACAATGAACCCATCGGAGATGCAAAGAGAAGCGCCACCACGGAGATGGAAAACCCGCAATCGAGCATCATCGACTCACCGGGTGAACAAAATGGTGATATCAGAAGAACAGATGAAGCTGCCATCCACCAAGAAAGTGGGGCCACTGACCTGGGCCCAATTAAAGAAGCTGACACAGTTAGCTGAAAAAAGCCTGAAGAACAAAAAGGGTAACACAAACTCCAGAGAACATGCTGCCTGCAGCTTTGATGATTGTATCAACGGTGGTAAGTCTCCCTGTGACTGCAGGAGCAGCCACAACTAATCATACTTACCGGGACTGTGTGCCTTTCCCGCCCTTAATTCAGGCAGTCACATGGATGGATAATCCTATTGAAGTATATGTTAATAATAGTGCATGGGTACCAGGCCTCACAGATGATCGTTGCCCTGCCCAACCTAAAAAAGAATTGATGATAAATATTTCCACTGGGTATCATTATCCTCCTATTTGCCAAGGGAAGGTGCCAGGATATTTAATGCCTACAACCCCAAATTGGTTGGTAGAAGTACCTACTGTCAGTGCCACCAGTAGATTTACTTATCACATAGTAAGTGGGATGTCACTCGGGCCACAGATAAAATAATTTACAGGACTCTTCTTATCAAAGATCATTAAAATTTAGGCCTAAGGGGAAGCCTTGCCCCAAGAAAATTCCCAAAGAATCAAAAGGTCCAAAAGTTTCAGTTTGGGAAGAATGTGTGGCTGATACTGCGGTGGTATTACAAAACAATGAATTTAGAACTATTATAGACCGGGCCCCTCGAGGCCAATTTTATTATAATTGTACAGGCCAGACTCTCTCATGTTCACAGCCCCATCCATCTGGCCCATTAATCTGGCCTATGAGAGTGATTTAACTGAAAGGCTGGATCAGGTTTATAGAAAGTTACAATCACCCTATCCATGGAAATGGGGTGAAAAGCGAATTTCATCACCTCGACCAAAGTTAGTTAGTCCTGTTACTGGTCCTGAACATCCAGAATTATGAAAGCTTACTGTGGCCTCACACCACATTAGAATTTGGTCTGAAAATCAAGCTATAGGAACAAGAGATCGTAAGCCATATTATACTATTAACTTAAATTCCAATCCGACAATTCCTTTGCAAAGTTGTGTAAAACCCCCTTATATGCTAGTTGTAGGAAACATAGTTATTAAACCAGATTCCCAAACTATAACCTGTGAAAACAGTAGATTGTTTACTTGCATTGATTCGACTTTTGATTGGCAGCACCGTATTCTGCTGGTGAGGGCAAGAGAGGGCATGGGGATCCCTGTGTCCATGGACTGACAGTGGGAGGCTTCCCCATCTGTCCATATTTTAACAGAAGTATTGAAAGGAGTTCTAACTAGATCCAAAAGATTCTTTTTTACTTTGATTGCAGTGATTTTGGGTCTTATTGCAGTCACAGCTACTGCTGTGGCTGCTGGAATTGCTTTACACTTCTCTGTTCAAACTGCAGAATATGTAAATAATTGGCAAAAGAATTCCTCAAAATTGTGGAATTCTCAGACCCAAATAGATCAAAAATTGGCAAACCAAATTAATGATCTTAGACAAACTGTCATTTGGATGGGAGATAGGCTCATGAGCTTGGAATATCTTTTTCAGTTACAGTATGACTGGAATATGTCAGATTTTTGTATTAAACCCCAAGCGTATAATGAGTCTGAGCATCACTGGGACATGACGCCAACTACAAGGAAGAGAAGATAATCTTACTTTAGATATTTTAAAATTAAAAGAACAAGTTTTTGAGGCATCAAAAGCCCATTTAAATTTGGTGCCAGAAACTGAGGCAATCATGAAAGTTGCTGATGGCCTCACAAATCTTAACCCTGTCACTTGGGTTAAAACCATCAGAAATTCAACTGTTGTAATTTCATATTAATCCTGGTATATCTGTTTTGTCTGTTGTTAGTCTACAGGTGTATCCAGCAGCTCCAAAGAGAGAGCGACCAGTGAGAACGGGCCATGATGATGATGGCGGTTTTCTCAAAAAGAAAAGGGGGATATGTAGGGAAAAGAAAGAGAGATCAGACGGTTACTGTGTCTATGTAGAAAAGGAAGACATAAGAAATTTCATTTTTATCTGTACCCTGAACAATTGCTTTGCCCTGAGATGCTGTTAATTTGTAACTTTAGCCCCAACCTTGAGCTCACAGAAACATGTGTTGTATGGAATCGAGGTTTAAGGGATCTAGGGCTGTGCAGGATGTGCCTTGTTTACAAAATATTTACAGGCAGTGTGCTTGATAAAAGTCATCGCCGTTCTTCATTCTCAAGTAACCAGGGGCACAATGCACTGTGGAAAGCTGCAGGGACCTCTGCCCTGGAAAGCCAGGTATTGTCCAAGGTTTCTCCCCATGTGATAGTCTGAAATATGACCTCATGGGATGGGAAAGACCTGACCGTCCCCAAGCCCGACACCCGTGAAGGGTCTGTGCTGAGGAGGATTAGTAAAAGAGGAAGGCTTCTTGCAGCTGAGATAAGAGGAAGACCTCTGTCTCCTGCCTGCCCCTGGGAATGCAATGTCTTGGTATAAAACCCGACTGTACATTTGTTCCATTCTGAGATAGGAGAAAAACCGCCTTGTGGCAGGAGGTGGGACATGTTGGGAGCAATGCTGCTTTGTTACTCTTTACTCCATTGAGATGTTTGGGTGGAGAAAAGCATAAATCTGGCCTATGTGCACATCCAGGCATAGAACCTTCCCTTGAACTTATTTGTGACACAGATTCCTTTGCTCACATGTTTTCTTGCTGACCTTCTCCCCTCTATCACCCTGCTCTCCTGCCACGTTCCCCTTGATGAGATAGTGAAAACAGTAATCAATAAAAACTGAGAGAACTCAGAGACCAGTGCTAGTGCAGGTCCTCCGTATGCTGAGCGCCGGTCCCCTGGGCCCAATTTCTTTCTCTATACTTTGTCTCTGTGTCTTATTTCTTTCCTCAGTCTCTCATCCCACCTGATGAGAAGTAACCACAGGTGTGGAGAGGCTGGCCCCACTTCAAGTGTATAGAATTCTGGTGTGGCATGTCCCATCAGGTTACTTAAGGGTGCATGTCCCCTGCCTGAACCCTGAAGGCCAGGTGGGAAGCCAAGTCTCTTGTGCCCAGCCAAGAAGCAGGTGTCCCCGAGAACCCAAACATCCCAGACAGTATCTGAGAACCTACCAGGCAGAAGAGGCTGATTGCTCAAAATCAGTGGACAAAGAGCCAGAAAATTCACTTAAAAGCAGTTTAGAGACAGGAGGTGGCACAGATCTTTGGGGCTGTGCTGCTGCTGCCCTGGAGTGCCCTGCATGTGAATCCTAATCAACTCATTATTTGCCAAGCTGGGCTCATCTGAGTCATCCTTTGATCTCTTGGCTCCTTTCCGGTTTGGCGGGGAAAATGATACGGCCCTGGTTTTTCTCAGAGCAAGCGTGTTTTGGAATCGCACATCCTTCGAGGGCAGATAATAGTCAAGTGCCTGTGGGTGATGAGTGACTTTCCCTATGGTGAGAAACCCTACACAAAGGGCATCTGAGTGAGGACCCTGCTGGGGACTCAGGTGAGAAATCCTACACGAAGGACATCCGAGTGAGGACCCTGCTCAGGACTCAGATGAGAAACCCTACAAAAAGGGCATCCGAGTGAGGACCCTGCTCAGGACTCAGATGAGAAACCCTACACAAAGGGCATCCAAGTGAGGACCCTGCTGAGGACTCAGGTGAGAAACCCTACACAAAGGACATCCGAGTGAGGACCCTGCTCAGGACTCAGATGAGAAACCCTACACAAAGGACATCTGAGTGAGGACCCTGCTCAGGACTCAGATGAGAAACCCTACACAAAGGGCATCCAAGTGAGGACCCTGCTGAGGACTCAGGTGAGAAACCCTACACAAAGGACATCCGAGTGAGGACCCTGCAGAGGATTCAGATGAGAAACCCTACACAAACGGCATCCAGGTGAGGACCCTGCTGAGGACTCAGGTAAGAAACCCTACACAAAGAGTATCTGAGTGAGGACCATGCTGAGAACTCAGGGCCTGGTGTTGTTGGGCAGGAACCTTGGGCGAGAGCCTCAGTTTTCCTGAAAAATGAGGATGATGATGTCCACCACCTGTGTGACCCTGGTAGAATCGAATGAGATGGGGCAACTTAAGGGCTTGGCATAGGGCCTGGCATACAGGAAGAGTGAAATTAATGCATTTTTTCTACTTTTTCCCTCCCAGCAGAAGCCTCCATGATTATTCATCCCTCGTTCTGAAAACTAAAAATAAAATCCTAAGCTCCCCCTATGAACTGAACAGATTCCCTCTCGGCCAAGTGTACCCAGAGAAATCTTTAAAACTGAGTTCCTGGCCATGGCAGGATGGGAGGATAGACACGTCTCATTTTACTTCCTTCCTTTCATGGTTGAGACACAAAAACTGACCAGCATTCATGTTAAAATAGAGATTATAAGGCTGACTGAATTGACTATTTAGGGTAATAAGATACCAAGTTATATACAGGACCTAAGGTCTTACCAGGCAAGGGTTAAGTCAAGGGCCCCTACCCTTAAAAAATGAACTATATACTTTTTTTTTTTTTTTTTTTTGAGGCAGCGTCTCGCTTTGTAGCCCAGGCTGAAGTGCAGTGGCATGATCTTGGCTCACTGCAACCTCTGCCTCCCAGGTTCAAGCAATTCTCCTGCCTCAGCCTCCCGAGTAGCTGGGATTACAGGTGCATGCCACCACACCTGGCTAATTTTTTGTATTTTTAGTACAGACAGGGTTTCACCATGTTGGCCAGGCTGGTCTTGACCTGCTGACCTCATTATCCACCCGCCTCAGCCTCCCAAAGTGCTGGGATTACAGGCAAGAGCCACTGTGCCCAGCTGAATGAACTATATTCTAACTGCCACAGGGTTTTTCTCTCTCTAGCAGCTGAACAAGCACTGGCCCTAAGATAAGCAATATTGAAATGATTGCAGCTCATCCATCCCAGATTCTGACTAACTGACCCCCTGTTCCACAAGCCATGACTCCAGCTTTGATTGGACAAGAGATTGATTCCAGTAACTTTCTGCTGATGAGAGGCCTCTGAGCATTGACTGCTTCTGGCCACTTGAAAGAGACTTAGCACGCGAGCGTCTTCATGTCCCTGATGAACCATTTGATATGGGGGGGTCTAGCTGCAATGCATTGAAACATGAAGTCTCGGCGCAGCACGGTGGCTCACGCCTGTAATCCCAGCACTTTGGAACACTCTGGGAGACCGAGGCGGCAGATCACCTGAGGTCAGGCGTTCCAGACCAGCCTGGCCAACATAGTGAAACCCTATCGCTACTAAAAATAGAAAAAGTGGGCCAGGCGCGGTGGCTCACGCCTGTAATCCCAGCACTTTGGGAGGCCTAGGAGGGCGGATCACAAGGTCAGGAGATCGAGACAATCCTGGTTAACACAGAGAAACCCCGTCTCTACTAAAAATACAAAAATTAGCTGGGCGTGGCGGCGTGTGCCTGTAGTCCGAGCTGCTGGGGAGGCTGAGGCAGGAGAATGGCGTGAACCCGGGAAGTGGAGCTTGCAGTGAGCAGAGATTGCACCACTGCACTCCAGCCTGGGTGACAGAGCAAGACTCCATCTCAAAAAAAAAAAAAAAAAAAAAAAGTAGCCAGGTGTGGTGGCATGTACCTGTAGTCTCAGCTACTTGGCTGACACAGGAGAATCGCTTGAACCTGGGAGGTGGAGGATGCAGTGAGCTGATACGGTGCCATTGCAGTCCAGCCTGGGTGACATAGCAAGACTCTGTCTCAAAAAGAAAAAGAAATGTGAAGTCTCCACCCCAAAGTGAACATGGGACATAAGCCACATGAATGTTTATTCAGTATGCATGTGTTAGGCCCCCTTCAAGAATACTCATAGCCCATTTCATGACCTGTTGAGTGTGTATACTTGGCCAACCCACTCAGCATAAATTCCTGCCTCATCACTTCCTCCCTGGAAATACCAGTGAAGGATCTTTTCTGAAAGCTGCACTTTCGAGCCTGAGGCATGGCGAGCCTACAGGCCATAAGCTACAGAAATATATCCTTTTTTTCCTTTTTAAGTAGAGACAGGATTTTGCTTTGTTGCCCAGGCTAGAACTCCTTGGTTCAAGCAATCCACCCACATCGGCCTCCCAAAGTGCTGGAATTACAGGCGTGAGCCACCTTGCTTGGCCTATAGAATTATAGCTTTTTTTTTTTTTTGAGAGGGAGTCTCACTCTTTGCCCAGGCTGCAGTGCAGCAGCACGATCTCGGCTCACTGCAATCTCCGCCTCCCGGGTTCAAGCGATTCTCCTTGACTCAGCCTCCTGAGTAGCTGGGATTACAGGCACGTGCCACCATGCCCAGCTAATTTTTGTATTTTTAGTAGAGACGGGGTTTCACCATGTTGGCCAGGATGGTCTCCATCTCTTGACCTCGTGATCCACCCGCCTTGGCCTCCCAAAGTGCTGGGATTACAGGCGTGAGCCACCACACCCGGCCTAGAAATATATGTTATAATAAAATAGAGCCATGTGTGGTGGCTCATGCCTGTAATCCCAATACTTTGTAAGGCTAAGATTGGAGCCCTGCCTGAGCCTGGCCGTTCTGGACCAGCCCGGGTAATATAGAGACACTCCAGTAATGTGAGACTCTAGCACATGTTGAGTGGGAGTGGTCACATGTGGATGCTCATCGCAGCACTATTCACAACAGCAAAGACATGGAATCCACTGGAATGCACATCAGTGGTGGACTGGATTAACAAAATATGGTACAGATACACCATGGAAACCTACACAGCTTGAAACAAGAACAAGATAATGCCCTTTCATTAAGTCCTCATCCTCCTTTTGCTGCAACACGGATGGAGCTAGAAGCCGTTATGCTAAGCAAACTAAAGCAGGCACAGAAAACCAAACACCACATGTTCTCACTTATAAATGAGAGCCAAATATTAAGTATACATGACATAATAATGGGAACAATAGACGCCCGGGACTACTGGAGAGTGGAGGGTGGAAGGGGAGTGGGTATCAACAAACTACCAAAACTGGCTGGACATGGTGGCTCACACCTCTAATCCCAGCACTGAGGCAGTGCACCATTTGAGGTCAGGAGTTCTCCATGTCCAACATGGTGAAACCCTGTCTCTACTAAAAATGCAAAAACTTAGCCTG
Organism: Homo sapiens; assembly: GCF_000001405.40. Lineage (NCBI taxonomy): Eukaryota > Metazoa > Chordata > Mammalia > Primates > Hominidae > Homo > Homo sapiens. Next base: position 3,897 of record NW_015495298.1, on the reverse strand, counting down.
GCGTGGTAATGCAAGTCTGTAGTCTCAGCTACTTGGGAGGCCGAGGCAGGAGAATTGCTTGACTCTGGGAGGCAGAGGTTGCAGTGAGCTGAGAGCATGCCACTACACTCCAGCCTGGGTGACAGAGTGAGACGCCACCTCAAAAAACAAACAAACAAACAAATAAACAAAAGCTACCAAAATTATTTATCTGATAGTTTGTCTATTATCTATAGAACAAACCTGCATCTGTATTCCTGGAACTAAAATACAAGTTTGAAAACCTGCGATTTTCAGTGATTGGTTAGAGACCTGACAAATAGCCATCACATTAGAGTCACCCACTAGATTTCTGCTTTGTCATTTTGGGGAGGTCACAGTTTCCTGTTTGCTCTAGTTTCTTGTAGATATAGATCTGTATTTTTGCACTGAAGGAAGAATGATTTACTCCAGTTTTCTCTGTCTGGCTTGCTTTGGTTTGGACTGAATACATTCCCTTAGTGAATCTTCACCACTAGGTTGCTGCTTCCTTCTTGGCTCCAGGTGGTGGCTTAAGCCCAGGTTTACCTAAGTTTTAGTAAACCACAAGAGTGCTGCCAGTCCCAAATGGGGAAAGTCCCAAAGGGATTCTCATGGCAGTGTAGGAGCGCTAGCTAGGTCAAGCCCAGGTTTTCCTGTTTTTTGATAAGGAGAGAAGGGTGGTGTGATAGGAAGATCTCTCATTGAAATGAGTTAGTTTCCAAAAGGATGTATATTTCCATTAATATGGGCTGGAAATATTTAGAATGTATTATCCACCTAAATGATTTTAGCATTATTCTAAGAGAAATTGGATATCTTTACTGGACACAATCACTTTAATTCAGTAAACCCCACTAGTCACCATGAGGACAGGTCAGTGCCCTGGTTTTCCCGTTTTTTGATAAGGAGAGAAGGGAGGTGTTACAGGAAGATGTCTCATTGAAATGAGTTAATTTCCAAAAGGATGCATATTGATGTGGGCTAGAAATATTTAGAATGTGTCATCTACCTAAATGATTTTACTATTCTTCTAAGAGAAATTGGACATCTTTACTACACACAATTATGTTAATTCAGTAAAACCCACTAGCCACCATGAGGACAGGCAAGGGTTGGTGATGCCATGAGGCTCCCGCTAGTACACAGTATGGCCATTCCCTCCCAAGGCAGGGGGCCGCACCTTGTGCAGTGAAGCCCTTTCCTGACATGGCCAATGATCAGGAACAGATTCTCCCAGATCTGCCCATTAGGAGTGAGCAGGGTCTCGGTATCTGGGGAGCAGTGAGGGCCCCTGACAAGAAGAGGGTTGACTCAATGGTTCATCATCACTGCCCACATAGAATGTTCCAGGTCCCAGGCATGCATCTTTTGTGGATGAACCCAGTAAATAACCACAGGAGAAAGTAAGGAAGAGATGACTGGAGAGGTAAAGAATGGGCATAAATTAATCAAAGTTTAGGCTAGGCACGTTGGTTCACGCCTGTAATCCTAGCACTTTGGGAGGCTTCCTTGAGGTCACTTGAGGTTAGGAGTTTGAGACCAGTCAGGCCAACATCGTGAAACCCCGTCTCTACTAAAAACACAAATTCCCTTGAACCTGGGAGTTGGAGGTTGCAGTGAGCCAAGATCACACCACTGCACTCCAGCCTAGGTGACCAAGCAAGACTCCATCAAATAAACAAAACAAACAAACAAAACAGGTCAGGCTCTGTGGCTCATGCCTGTAATCCTAGCACTTTGGGAGGCCAAGGTGGGCAGATTACCTGAGGTCAGGAGTTCGAGACCAGCCTGATCAACATGGAGAAATGCCGTTTCTAATAAAAATACAAAATTAGCTGGGCATGGTGGCGCATGCCTGTGATCCCAGCTACTCGGGAGGCTGAGGCAGGAAAATCGCTTGAACCCAGGAGGCGGAGGTTGTGGTGAGCCAAGATCATGCCATTTCACTCCAGCCTGGGCAACAAGAGCGAATCTCCGTCTAAAACAAAACAAAAAAAAAAAGAAAAAAAAACCACAACGACAACATGAAGTTTATTTTGATTCCTTTATTTCCTGCAGATGAAACTAAATCACAGATGAACTAGTACCTCTTTTTTTAATTCATCAGGAACTAAAGATTTCTGATGTATAAATTGCTGAAACAGGCTAATCAATCATGAAGGACAGCAGAGAGTTTCCATTTAGGTTCCCTCTACTTCCGACGTTTCTTTGTATCCATCCTTGCTGAGATAACTCCCTCACTCTAGAACTTCAGCTTTCTATTTCTGACTGTCTAGGACACAGATCCCTGAGTCTCAGTGACTCCATTCAACTTTTTCCCCAGTGCTGCCCCCTGCTGGGATTTTTTGTTTTTTGTTTTCCACTCACAGAAAGCACATGCCTGAAACAGAGGTTTCTCTGTTCCCTTTATAATGCACCTATAGACCCGGCACAGCTGCTTATGCCTGTAATCCCAGAATCTTGGGAGGCCAAGCAGGGGGCTCCCTTAAGCGTAAGAGTTTGAGACCAGCCTGGACAACATAGGGAAACCCTGTCTCAAATTTTTAAATAAAAGCTGTAAAATTGTAAAATAAGGAAAAAGAAAAATAAAAGACATCTATGTCCCAGATTTTAGTTTCCAAGTGCCTGGAGAAAAAGCTTTTTATACCTCCACCCCACTAGGCAGGCCTTCCCCACAAGCAAAAATTGAACTCCAGTTGCTCAGTGGGCGAAGTGCCACAGCAAGGGCAGGACACCGGACCAAAGAAGATCCTTTTGGGCTCCCTTACTTCCCTCAGTATACGCATCAGCTCAGCCTGAAGTGGGGTGAGGAGCTCCAAAATGACACGACCCCTGTTGTCAAGACTCTCCCGAGGGGCAGGATATGTTTCCAGGCTCAAATTGCTCAGCCTGCCTGTGTGGCGCAGCAGGTCCTTCAGAGCATCCATGGACGTGTCATTGCCGTGAAAACAGAAAGTGGTGAGGTTGGAGCAGCGGCTCAGGGCAGGCAGGATGACCCTGAGTTTGGAGTACCCAATCCCACAGTCCACTAAGAAGAGGGTCTGAAGAGTGGCAGCAACTTTCTCTAGCAGAGCTCGGAGGGGCTCAAGACGGATGAAGCGCAGTGCACCATGACTCAGATTCAGCTGCTTCAGTTGACTGAGACTTGGGTACCGGGGCAGGCATTTCAAGTCCTCTTCTTCTAGGAAGCCATAAGTTAATGCCAATGTCTCCAACGGGCTCCTGAGGCACCTGGGGAGAGCAAGAAGTTAGTACTGGGCAATGGCACCAGTTAGAGGACGGTGGTAGAAAATAACGTCAAGGGAAGAGCCTGTTTTGCCCAAACACAAGTTTGTTCTCATCATCTAATCATGGTCCTCCCGCAAGGTGCTGCCTGATGAGGACTTGGATCATTCAGAGGCAGTCCCATTTTAGGCTCAGTCCTTTCACCATCACTGGTGTGATTGGTTCAAGGCCATAAAAACTCTAAAGCCTTTTTTCTTCATCTTCCAGCAGAAAGCTTCATCTCTGGGCCACAGGAGCCCAGTGGAAGAGATGCCCAAAGAACTGACCTGAGCAAGGTCTAGGGACATCAGCTAGGGCTACCTGCTTTCAGAGGCTCCCTGACATGGCCACATCTGCAAACCACCTGTCACTTTGTACCACTCTCGTGCCTACTCCCTCACCTCCATCCCAGAAGCACGCATTTCCCATGTCACTTACCTTTCCTGGAGTTCAAAACAACCTTTTACAGACAGGGAATCAGAGAGAGGATCATTCATGTTCACTAAGCTGTGAGGACAGAGCTTCCTCTGTGAAACGCACAGGTTTGGTGCACTTTCTCTTCTTTTACACCCTCCCCTCTGTTGCCTCTTTTTTATCATATTAACTTTAAACACACTTCCTAACAAGGAATTC